>NC_000012.12:77005582-77157097 GCF_000001405.40 Homo sapiens | reverse complement strand
AGTGAAACTCAGGTGCCGTAGGTGCACACAGAGTTGCTACTTGGGAAAAGGGGTCAAGAAAAGCTTCCTAGATGAAGTGACACTTAAATGAGGCTTTATAGGTGTGTAGGAAATAGCCAGGCCACATTACCTAGAGAGGAAAGAGTTTCAGGGAATTACAAGTACTTCTCCATGACTGAAACCACAGAAGTTGAGGAAACTCTCAAGAGATTAAGTCTGCAGGATCATCAGTGGCAGATCAGACAGAGCCTTTATGCTGAGTTGAAGAATTTGGACTTTATATGGAGGTAAGGGGAAAACCACTTTAAGCATGGAATGACATAACAGTTTTGTGGGTTTAAAAAAAAAGTCTCTGTAACTTCAATGTAGAGATTCCAAGGTGGGGAGGAGAAAAGCAGGTTGAAAACGAAGTGAACATAATCTATTCAAATAGTCTTCCGTGAATACTTGAAAGCCACCATTGAGCTAGATTTCTGCCCAAATCACACAGTGCATTGCTTTAAATGAGCTTAAACCTTACTTATAAACTTCACTCACATTTTTAATACTCACATGAATTTAATCACATAAAGTTATATTGTATAACTTACTTCATGTACTTTGAAATATGTTTTTCACTGAGCCAGCATTGCGTATATTGCTTAGCTCAGGAAAATATGTCAATCCTTATGTCCCTCAAAACTGCCATTAACACGCATGGCATCAGATTTTTTCTAGGTGATGTAAAATTAAATCATGATTCTTTGCAATGTATTCTAATCAGCTATTCCATTAACTGTTTTCAAATGGTAATCAACTCAGTTCCAAATGAACAGTTACATATTCAGCTTGCTCCATGAATTCTATGAATGCATTTACCATTACAAGTTATAATTATATTACTTTCAGAAGTCATTTACAGCAATTGAACAAACTAAGAAAAATTCTAAGATTCTTATGTGACAGAGTAATTAAACAATATGAAATGCAAGGCTCTACTTTATATTATAAAATTTAGTTATGATGTTATATTTTCAGAGAAATGATTTTTTGGAGCAAATAAGTATTGTTCAGTTAAGGCTTCATAACTTTAAATCACAGACCACCAAGTAAAATTATTAGACAATATACTATATTGTGTTACGTATGAAATTAAATATATACCTAACAGAAAGGAATCATCTCCTTTTTATTGGAGTGGTAGGTGGTAATCTCTGCAGCAAAAAGATTGTCTGGGAAAAAGTAACTAATATCTCAGCGAACTTGCTATGTGCCCATTCCCTGTGCTAAGGACTTTACATATTTTGACCTATGTCATCAATTTAATCCTGAATATGTGATAGAAGAACCTATATTACTCTAAGCAGAATTCTTTAATTTCTAATAGTTAGCTCACTTACAAAACAGGCTACAGTGTTATTTTAAGTATTCTTTGTTGTATAACACACTACTCCCAAAATTCAGGAGCTTAAAATAACAACAAACATGTATTATCTCTCATGGTTCTGTGTGTTGACTAGACATTTCGGCTTCTGTGCTGATGACTGGGGCAATGAGCTAGCTGGAAGGTCTACAGTGCTCTCACTTATATAGTAGGCACTACTGTTGGCTGCTGGTAGGGAGCTCAGTTGGATGTGTTGGCAAGAGGTCTTGGTTCTTCTACTCTATAGAGGCCATTGTACGTTGTTACTTAAATTCTCACAGCACAGCAATTTGGTTCCAAGAAAGAGCATTGTAATAGTGAGTATTTCAACAGTATTAACCCAACATGCAAACACTTACTGTGGTAAGCAGAATAAAATAAAATAAAGGCCCCCCCAAAGACATCTATGCTCTAAAACTTCCAAACTTATGAATATGTTACCTTAAATAGCAAAAGGCACTTTGCAATGTGATTAAGTTAAGGCGAGGCGGGGAGAGTGTCTGGGATTATCCAGGTGGACCCAATAATGCAATCAAAAAAATATTTTATAAGAGGGAGGTAGAAGTAAGACATTTGTCCACGTTATGCTGCTGATTTTGAAAATGAAAGTGGAAGAAAGGGCCACAAGCCAAGGAATACAGGCATTCTCTAGAGGCTAAACAAGACAATGAAATTCTCCCCTACAGCCTCCAGAAAGAATGCAGCCCTGCTGACACCTTGATTTTAGCCCAATGACACTTCTGATCTACAGAACTATAAATTAATGCTTTTATTTTGTTTTGAGCCAGTAAGTTTGTGTGATTTGTTAAAACAGAAATAGGAAACTAACACATTTGTAAAGTCTTGGTTTTTATCCCATTTGTTAATATTGTTAATATCCCATTTGTTAATACTGCATGGCTAAAGCCTAGAGTCATTGAACTGAATTCACAAAGCCATGGTTTATCATAATAGTCTACAGCAAAGTAATAATGCAATATAAGCATCATTTCCCTCAAAACATTTCCCATGTTTTAGTTTTCTACTGCTACTGTAACAAAATACCCAAATTTAGTGACTTAAAACAACACAAATTTATTATCACAGTTTCTGTAGGGTATCCATCTAACATGAGTACTAGCAGGCTGAAATCAAGATGTTGGCAGGGCTACATTCTTTACTGGGGGTACTGAGGGAAAATTTAATCCAAGCTAATTCATGTTGTTGGCTGAATTCAGTTCTGTGGGGATGTAAGACTGAGGTCCCTGTTTCCTTGCGGGCCCTCAATCAGTGGCCATCATTAGCTCTGGAGGCTTCTCTCCAGTCCTCACATGTGACCCCTTAGATCTCAAAATCAGAAAGAGTGCATCAAATACTTGTCACTCTCTGAATTCTCTGACCCTTCTTTCCACTACATCTTCCTCCATCTGGAGAACATTCTCTGCTTTTAAAAATTATGTGATTAAATTGAGTCCCCCCCGATAATCTCTCCATTTTAATACCACACCTTAATTACCTCTGCAAAGCTCTTTTTGCCATGTAATGTAACATATTCATAAGTTGCAGGGATTTGGTACAGACATCCTTGGGGAACATTATTCTTCCTTCCATAGTTCTCCAAAACCAGAATCTTCATGCCAATCAGAGGTTTAAAGTACAGCACCAATCTGCTCTGTACCCTGCGTATGAACAAACCCTCAAAGGCACAATTAGCACAGATAAACTCATCATCATTCTGCTGTTCACTGACTCCATCAGCATCTCCAGAAGACAATTTATTTGAGATGTTACTCCTCCAAAATTAGTCACAGTTGGCTATTTCATAACCAGCTCTGCTCTGTTGTTAAAGGGCAAGGCTTTTCAAAAGAGCAACAATGCTGTTTTTGCAATAAACACACAAATTGCCTTTCTTGACCATGAAGGACAACAACAGGAAGATTAATTGATTGAAAATGATCTCGTGACATCTTATGGTGGACAATGTGCCTGCAGTGACGAGTGCATCTTCACATCCCTCTTTACTCTCCAAAGATTTTGGACTTACTGTTCAACATTCAGAATCTCCTGGTATCTTCTTCATTGGAAAATGCAATGTAATTAGAGCATTTGGAGTGAATTGTGATTATCCTATGTTACAAACACGAGAAGTGTTTCTTATAGATACAGAGACTAACACAAATAGGTAAGTAGCAGCCGCAACTATATGTTTTTTAAAATCCAACTGCTTTGATTCATTCCAAAAAATTAATTTTTAAAATATTGTATTAGAGATTCAAGAACAAGTTTGAAAAAACAATACTGTAGCAACAAAGTTAAGGAATAATGTGATATTCAAAGTTAGTGAGGAGAATTTCATTTTTTAATTGATATATAATATTTGCACATATTTATAGGGTACCTGTGATATTTTGTTAAATGCACAGAATATGTATTGATCAAGTCAGGGTATTTAGAATGTCCATCACCTCAAGCATTTATCATTTCTATGTGTTGGGAACATTTCAAGTCCTCTCAGCTAGCTGTTTTGAAATATACAATACATTATTCTTCACTGTAGTTACCCTAGTCTATCCAAAATTAGAACTTTATCTAACTGCATGTTTGTGCCCATTAACCAACCTTTCTTGATCCCTTCTCCCTCCCCCATACACTGTTGCCAGTCTCTAGTAAGTATCATTCTACTTCCATAGTTATTCAACCAAGAGAGAAAATTATGTGAAGGAGCTGGTAGAAGGTAGGGTACTTTGCAATTGCTGAAGCCTTCTTGCCAGTGATGCATCTTTAAATTCTGTTCCTCCAGGGAAAATTTCAGGGTGCCCCCTCCTACCACCCCCAACAACAGATACAGCTTGGGAAAAACTAAAGCTGCCTGGGAAGATGTAAGTTTAGAAGCTTTTGTTCTAACTTTACACATTGAGGTGGAAGGGAGCCTCCTTCTGGTCAATCACATAGAAGCGAATTTTGTTTTTCACTGAAAGTTCTACTTTGCCTACTTTATTGCTGGACTTGCAACCAGCTTCTCTTACTAAAAAAAAAAAATTCTGCAGTAATCATGTAAGAACAAAGGGGGGAAAAATCACTCTAAACTACGACAGCAGAAATATGCCCAGACATATACATACTTCAAAGCAAAGGAAGTTCTGTACTGTTTCAATTACTAATCATTTAACACAACAAATTCCAAAGAAAACACAACCTACATATTGAATATATTCTTTAGTTATGGGAAGATTTAGGACAAACTCTGTAAGCTAAATAACTTGAAAGTGAACTTTTTGTATGACCTTTTCTTTAAAATATTTATTATTTTAATGTAGTCTACATGTAGACTCCTAATATTTATTTATAATAAATGTACTATAGGAGCATAAATCCTGATTTATTTATTTTAATTTACAAATACATCAATCTGATTAATGGAGTCATTTTTCTGTCCTGTCACATTAAATTACATCCATAGTCAAACACCTAAAGTAAATTATAGGCTTATTCAGGGAACATCCTGTCAAGAAACTATTTGGCACACTGTAAACAGCCAATAAATATTGAAAATAGTAAACATGTATTCTATCAAGGCATATATAGTGTAGATTTTCACATACTTGTAAATTCTTCAGTTGAAACGTTAACAGTCCAGTTTGTCCCTCATCCAATACACTTGAGAGTTTCTTCTCCTTCCATTAATTGAAATGCATTCTGGAGAGAGAAGCTGATTAATATTAATCAAGCTTACTATGAAAGCAAAGCCATGCTATTGCCATATGATAATTTTAGAATCAAGAATCAATGCATTCCTTGTTTCCTCAATTCATGCTGACATTTAATTTTTATCTATTTATTTTTATTTATTGATTGATTTTTTTAATTTTATTATTAATATACTTTAAGTTTTAGGGTACATGTGCACATTTAATTGCATGTCCTAATGTAGAAATATTCACTTGTCGAGAAGAATCGGGGAGAATGGGGCTGAAGTGCCTCCTTTACATATTCTGGGAAGGCTTCCTAAATGCTAATTCATACTGAATGGGAGGAAGAGGATTCCCCTCTACTAGGCACTGGGTCTATACAGTGGAGAAAAGAGGTACAGTTCCTGTCCTCAAGAAGTTTATAATCTATTAGAAAGAAGGTCAAAATCAGAATATACAGCAGAGAAAACAGGTATAGTTCCTGTCCTCAAGAAGTGTATAATCTATTAGAAAGATTAAAATCAGAAGTGCAAGGAAGTATTATAAATGCTGAGATAGAAAAAATGAAAAAAAAGAAAGAACTTGTCATTTCAAAGTTAGTTCTAAGGGTGAACGGCTGGGAAACGTTCTACTCTTGTGCTTGAGCACATCAGCTCCCTGCTGTAAAAGGCACCTGAAAGTCTTATCTTTCTGTGCGAGATGTAGGAAATGTTATGAAAAACTGAATGAAGGAAAAGGCCCCAGGCCAACTTGAGGCTGATTCATGATCAAAGCATTGTTTGCAGTAGGCTAGTCCCTAACCATCAGGTATAGACTCAAATGCCAGATAGCAAATGCCAGAATGTAGCTTCCTGCTGGGTGCCACCCATGGGCACACCTACATACACGGGATATGCTGCCTCACACTAGAGATATTTCTTTCACTTTGGTGTTCATTCAACAGCCTTAGAAATACTCAAGGGCTTAGAACCCTGACTCACCAGTACCACAGTCCCCTTTTCCCCACCCAGGTCTCCAAAGAGATATGTGTGTTCTGCGTAAATAGGATTCTTGGAGATATGTCCCAAAATCCCAAATTATCTGAGTTCAAGGAGCTAAAGAGCTCCCTTCTCACTATCATCTTCCTGCAGCCTCCCCAGCCCCCACTCAGCAATGGCCATTCCTAGGTGAGGATGGGATCTCTGGCAAGGATTATGTCTCCTATTTCTTTTTGGGGATCCTCCACAGTTCCTGCCATAACACCTTACAGGTTAGTTCATTAAATGATTGATAATGATGATGGTGGTAACAACAAATGCAAGAACTCCTCAAAAGTGACTAGAATGGTAGAATCCCAAGATTTTACCATGAGCCAAAAGTTCTGTGAAAAATCTGGTTGGATAGCACAATTAAAGACATTCTATGCATTTATATTCTCATTCTCTCTTCCCCCAGTATCTTAACAGAGTGTTGACTGACATCTGTGTTCTTTACTAGTGCACCCAGGAAGAAATGCAGAGGCTCCTGTTGGTGCTAAATAAGGCATCTTATTTGCTTAACACAAGTCACCATATGGAGCAGGTTCTACCTGAGTCCTGCCTGGGTGAAGTGAAATTATCATGAGACCTTATGTCCAATTTATTCTGAGCCCTGGCGTAGTAAGCAATGTCCCGAGGTGCTGCCACAGATGCTGGGCCTGTGTTAGTAGAACCAGGCATGGGGGCCCTAACCTGTGTCCAGTAAACAGAGGGAGGTCTTTGATCTCACTGGGAGGGTGCAGTTTTGTTGCTTGCACCCCATTCTGGACCCATAAAGCTTATATTTGTTACAAGAGCATTTATTTGGAAAATTAATAGACAAAGTGCTCATTTGCTTTAAGAAAAGCAAAGAACAAGCTCAACAATTTATGGGAAATTTTATTTGACTACTGGGTCACTGGTTTAATTTTGCATATGTTCTCATAAATGTAACCAGCAGGGTTTTATGCAAGAATCATCTTGTAAACTAAAAGTGCTGGCAGAGGAAAATCAGTTTGCAGCACCCAAGACATTAGGGAAATTGGCAACCATGGAAAACACCTGTAATGCTTTCCTCCCCAGCCTCACAGCCAACCACCAGAGGAAGAATACCCTTGCTCAAACACTCCTCTTGGGTGATTAGCTCTTCTGTCAACCAATTAACTTCTGAGTGAATTTCAATATTAAAGAGGAGAAGCTGAAAGTAACAATAGCACTTATCCCGGTGTTATTTTGTAATAAAAAAATATTATCTGGCCAGGCAGGGTGGCTCACTCCTGTAATCCTAGCACTTTGGGAGGCTGAGGCAGGTGGATCGCTTGAGGTCAGGAGTTCGAGACCAGCCTGCCCAACATGGTGAAACCCCGTCTCTACTAAAAATACAAAAATTAGCCAGGTGTCGTGGCACATACCTATAATCCCAGCTACTCAGGAGGCTGAGGCAGGAGAATTGCTTGAACCTGGGAGGTGAAGGTTGCATTGAGCCAAGATTGCACTACTGCACTCCAGCCTGGGTGACAGAGGGAGACTCCATCTCAAATACACACACACACACACACACACACACACACACACACACACACATATACAATCTGACTTAGTAATCAGGCTGTCACACCTTGTGTACTCCCAAACAATGGCAAATTAACGTAAAACATAATAAATAGAGAAATTCTCTGGTGTGTGTGTTGAGGGAGGGAGGATTGCATGCTTTGCATTTAAATGGCAAAGACTGACCTGAGAAAATGTGCTTATGGGAACTTTAGAGCCTTGTACATTTACCTCAGCGCTACTAGAGATCAGAAATCCACCAGTGCAGACGAACAATCCCCATGTGAAGTTGCTGCTGTGAGGATGCAAGTTGATGTTGTAATTAAATTCACTCTAGACAGACATTTTGCTTTCTGAGCAGCCCTACATACTGCTGTCCCTTAAAGTGGTTATTAAAGGGTTATGATAGGACTTAACGACGGTGGCTACTATTTGTGATTAGGACCTACCAGATCAAGACACTATGCTGGGCAAATGAACCCTAACCCCTTTCAGTACTGATACAATCTTGCAGCATATGTATTCTTATCCCTATTTTACAGATCAGGAAATGGAACCTCAGAGAAGTTAAAAAGCGGGAAAAAAATGATATGTGAACTTAGTCTAACTCCAAGTCAAGCTCATGATATGTGAACTTAGTCTAACTCCAAAGTCAAGCTCTTTCCACAATCATTTCAAGCTCTTTTCACATATATTTTCCCCTAGGGGGAAAAGGATCCCCAAATAGAAAGTTATAGTTTGCAGTTCTTTGTCATAGAAGTAGAGCCTCAGGGAGCTAGAACACTGCTGACCTGACCCAACTCAGGAGCCGAAACAGTAAACCTGTAAGGTTTGTCATTCATGTATTCCTCATTTCACCCTAAAGACAGATTGTGGTGTTTTCACCCTTGGTAGTAATGTGATTCTGTAACAATCTTCTGAATACCCATGAGAGGATTGAGGAGACCAAAGAGGAGTCATTCATTCATTCATTGGTCCTTTCACTTGTTCAGTCATTCATTTAATCCAAGCAATACAAGAATAATGGTTTCAAGCAGTGGTTGGCAATCTACTACTTTATTACAATCATAAATAAAGTTTCATAAACTTTATTAATGAAATCAGGTAGTGGGTCACATGTGGGTCAAATGTGACTCACCACTGGTTTTCATAAATAAAGTTTTACTGGAACACAACTTTGTGTTCATTTACATATTGTCTGTGACTGCTTTGCACACTACAAGAGCAAATGTGAGTTATAGCAATAGAGGCAGAATGCACCACACAGCTGAAAATATTTATGAATGGACCCTTTACAAAAAATGTTTGCTAATTTCTGATTATTCCATTCAAACACTGGCCCTGCCCATTGGGCTTGAACCTCTCTGAGCCTCGATTTCCTCTTATGTAAATCAGAGATGAAAATAATGATGTTACCTAATTGATTTGCTATGAGGATTAAATATTTTTATATGTAAAGTACCCAGGACAAAGTAAGCACTGAATATTGTTATTATTATTATTCATTCCTTCACCAGTATTGCCAGAGTGGTTGAAAAATAGGGCACAGGCTGCAATTAGTACTGTGTCCAGTCCCCTGCCTGCTGGGCTATTTGAGATGCCTGTTACATGGGCACATAGGCAGTAGGGAATCCATGTGTGGGCCAGGTGTATACACTTGGGAGTTAATCATGAGTGATATTTTAAAGCTACAAAGCTGGATGAAATCACTTAGAAAGTGATTGAGATGGAATTACTGGAGAAAATGTATGCAGAGAGTAGAAAAGGGCCAGACACAAATCCTGGAGTACCCCAAAATTTGAGGTGAAGTAGAGCAGGGGAAGTCAGGAAAGGAAGTTGAGAAGGAAAGGATCGACGAAACAGGAAGAAAAGTAGGAGACTGTGGTGGCTGAGAAGTTTAAAAATAAATTGTTCCAAGGAGAGTGTGGTCAGATATGCTAACTACACATGATGGTTCAAGAACATGTAGACTAAGAGTGGATCCATTTGATTGGCAACATGCAGGTCATTGCTGACTTCCTAAGAAAGATTTTGCTGGCTGGTATGCTTTCAAGAGTGTGAAGGTAGAAACTGTACATACAGGCAACTATTTGGAGGACTTTTGCTATAAAAGGGAGTGGAGAAATGTGGCAGAATCTAAAAGACGTGGGATCAAGGGAGGAATTTGTAAGACGGGATTACAACAGGTGGGTCTGCTGGTGGAAATGACTCAGGAGAGTGGGGAAAGAATGGAGATGGCTGCAGCAGTAGCTGAGCAAAGATGGAATTCAGGGATAAATGGGCAAGCTACATTCCTTATTCAAAATTTCTGCATAAATGAATTACATTTGTCTACCCAACTCCTGGCTTTTGGCAACTTCAATATCCTAGTCCCCCATTTGGTCCCATATTTAGCTCTTATTTTCTGTGTATCCTGTAATACTGAGACTCAAGTTCTGGCTTTCCATCTTGTCTTTGCCCTTTGACACATCTAAAGGATACAACTCTACTCCTCTTAATCCCAATGACTCCAAAGAAATTGACCCAGGTAGGCTGCTCCATTTGCTGTTTGCTGTCATTGTGCTTTTGAAGGATAATTGGATACAATTGTGCAATGTGCACTGTGTAACCCTAGAGGCCATCATTCACATAGTTGGCTGAGTTATTAATATAATGTTCTAGCAGATGGCAACAAGTGTTTTTGCTCTATCAAGACAATATTCCATCAGATAAAAGTTGCATCTTAATGAAGAAGCCCTATTTTCTTTTTTGTTTTTTGTATTTTAACTTTTTTTTTAATACTTTAAGTTTTAGGGTACATGTACACAACGTGCAGGTTTGTTACATATGTATACATGTGCCATGTTGGTGTGCTGCACCCATTAACTCTTCATTTAACATTGGGTATATCTCCTAATGCTATCCCTCCCCCCTCCCCCCACTCCACAACCGTCGCCAGTGTGTAATGTTCCCCTTCCTGTGTCCACGTGTTCTCACTGTTCAATTCCCACCTATGAGTGAGAACATGTGGTGTTTGGTTTTTTGTCTTTGCGATAGTTTGCTAAGAATGATGGTTTCCAGCTTCATCCATGTACCTACAAAGGACATGAACTCATCATTTTTTATGGCTGCATAGTATTCCATGGTGTATATGTGCCATATTTTCTTAATCCAGTCTATCATTGTTGGACATCTGGGTTGGTTCCAAGTCTTTGCTATTGTGAATAGTGCCACAATAAACATACGTGTGCATGTGTTTTTATAGCAGCATGTTTTATAATTCTTTGGGTATATACCCAGTAATGGGATGGCTAGGTCAGATGGTATTTCTAGTTCTACATCCCTGAGGAATTGCCACACTGACTTCCACAATGGCTGAACTAGTTTACAGTCCCACCAACAGTGTAAGAGTGTTCCTATTTCTCCACATCCTCTCCAGCACCCATTGTTTCCTGACTTTTTAATGATCACCATTCTAACTGGTGTGAGATGGTAGCTCACTGTGGTTTTTATTTGTATTTCTCTGATGGCCAGTGATGATGAGTATTTTCTCATGTGTCTTTTGGCTGCATAAATGTCTTCTTTTGAGAAGTGTCTGTTCATATCCTTTGCCCACTTGTTGATGGGGTTGTTTGTTTTTTCTTGTAAATTTATTTGAGTTCATTGTAGATTCTGGATATTAGCCCTTGGTCAGATGAGTAGATTGCAAAAATTTTCTCCCATTCTGTAGGTTGTCTGTTCACTCTGATGGTAGTTTCTTTTGATGTGCAGAAGCCCTTTAGTTTAATTAGATCCCATTTCTCAATTTTGGCTTTTGTTGCCATTGCTTTTGGTATTTTAGGCATGAAGTCCTTGCCCATGCCTATGTCCTGAATGGTATTGCCTAGGTTTTCTGCTAGGGTTTTTATGGTTTTAGGTCTAACATTTAAGTCTTTAATCCATCTTGAATTAATTTTTGTGTAAGGTGTAAGGAAGGGATCCAGTTTCAGCTTTCTACATATGGCTAGCCAGTTTTCCCAGCACCATTTATTAAATAGGGAATCCTTTCCCCATTTCCTGTTTTTGACAGGTTTGTCAAAGATCAGATAGTTGTAGATATGTAGCGTTATTTCTGAGGGCTCTCTTCTGTTCCATTGATCTATATCTCTGTTTTGGTACCAGTACCATGCTGTTTTGGTTACTGTAGCCTTGTAGTATAGTTTGAAGTCAAGTAGCATGATGCCACCAGCTTTGTTCTTTTGGCTTAGGATTGACTTGGCGATGCGGGCTCTTTTCTGGTTCCATATGAACTTTAAAGTAGTTTTTTCCAATTCTGTGAAGAAAGTCATTGGTAGCTTGATGGTGATGGCATTGAATCTATAAATGACCTTGGGCAGTATGGCCATTTTCACAATATTGATTCTTCCTACCCATGAGCATGGAATGTTCTTCCATTTGTTTGTATCCTCTTTTATTTCATTGAGCAGTGGTTTGTAGTTCTCCTTGAAGAGGTCTTTCACATCCCTTGTAAGTTGGATTCCTAGGTATTTTATTCTCTTTGAAGCAATTGTGAATGGGAGTTCACTCATGATTTGGCTCTCTGTTTGTCTGTTATTGGTGTATAAGAATGCTTGTGATTTTTGCACATTGATTTTGTATCCTGAGACTTTGCTGAAGTTGCCTATCAGCTTAAGGAGATTTTGGGCTGAGACGATGGGGTTTTCTAGAAATACAATCATGTCATCTGCAAACAGGGACAATTTGACTTCCTCTTTTCCTAATTGAATACCCTTTATTTCTTTCTCCTGCCTGATTGCCCTGGCCAGAACTTCCAACACTATGTTGAATAGGAGTGGTGAGAGAGGGCATCCCTGTCTTGTGCCAGTATTCAAAGGGAATGAAGAATCCGTATTTTCTAATTCACACTAAGGCAACATAACAACTTCTGATAGTCCCGCATGTGAGGTCTATTTCTGCTGTAACATGAAGGGAAATCACATAAGCGGTTCAGTAGGATTGAGCACAAAACTCAAGGAGAAGATATTGTGCCTAAAAGAACCATAACAATGTCAAAGCCTTGTCTCTTGCAAACCATAAATAAAAATATTTACCAATTCCTAATGACGTGGAATTGATGATTAAATGAACAATCCAACAGTAAAACACCTGATGAAATTTGTTATACATGTACCTGCATTCATTATTACATAAACCTGTATGTAGATTGCTTATAGCAATGCTTTTTTTCTTTAAAACAATAGAACATAACCTGTCATTTCAAAGCCAAATCAAAATACTCCATTCTGTAACAGTTGATGTTTAAATATAAGAAACCCAAGTATCGAAGCTTTTTGGCCCTAGGCAGGTACTTTTTTGCCCTCTAGACCATGACTTACACTAATGAGCCTTAGATATAACTAATGCCCAAATGATGATTCTCCCTGAATTAAGAACTTCCAGGTAAAGTCAGATATAGGCAGACACAGTGAACAGCACCCAAAATATGCACAACTTAAGAGAAATTTGCCCTGAGGAAAATGAATAAGAAGCATTATTCTTGGGCTCCTACCTCTCTCAGCACATGTTAGGGAAACATACCTTTTCACACTATCTTAATTTATTTACCTTATTTAGCTTCTATTATCTCTGCCTGTTTAGTCCCACCTGTCTTTAAAGACCTAGCTCAAAATCTACCTTCTTCTTAAAAAGGCAAATACTGTATGATCCTACACATATGAGGTATCTAAAGTAGTCAAATTCAAAGCAACAGAAAGCAAAATGGTGGTTACCAGGGGTGGGAAAGAGTGAAGGTAACCTATAGATTGGGAGAAAATCTTTGCAAACTGTATATCTGATAAGGGGTTAAAATATCTAAAATATGTCAGGAACTCCTACAATGCAATAGCAAAAAACTAACAACCTGATTTTAAAATGCTTTCTGTTATTTTTAACTGTTGATTTTATCACAAAAGAAAATCTCTAACTTTAACACCATTCCTTCCCCCTACATTTTGACTTTTTGATATCTCAATTTACATCTTCTACATTTTGTATATCTTAGCCAACTTTTGTAGTGATATTCTTTAATAGTTTTGTCTTTTAATCTTCATACTCAAGATATAAGTGTATAAAGATATCCATACCACAATTATAGTATTAGAATAGTCTGAATTTGTTGGCGTATTTACTTTCACCAGTGAGTTTTATACCTTCAGATGTTTTCTTGGTACACATTCATGTTCTTTTCTCTCAGATTGAAAAAAAGATCCATTTAGCTTTTCTTTTTTTTTTTTTTTTTTTCGAGGCAGAGTTTCGCTCTCATTGCCCAGGCTGCAGTGCAATGGCGCAATCTCAGCTCACCAAAACCTCTGCCTCCCGGGTTCGGGTGATTCTCCTGCCTCAGCCTCCCAAGTAGCTGGGATTACAGACATGCACCACCATGCCCAACTAATTTTGTATTTTTAGTAGAGATGGGGTTTCTCCATGTTGGTCAAACTGGTCTTGAACTCCCGACCTCAGGTGATCCACCCACCTCGGCCTCACAAAGTGCTGGGATTATAGGCATGAGCCACCATGCCCAGCGCATTTAGCTTTTCTTATAAGATAAGTTGGGTGTTGATGAATTCCCTTAGTTTTTGTTTGTCTGGGAAAGTCTATCTCTGTTTCATATTTGAAGGATAGTTTTGCTCGGTACTGTATTGCGAGGAAAAGGAAAGAAGAGAATGAGGAGGGGCTAGTCAATGGGTACAAAGTTTTAGTTAGAAAAGAAGAATAAATTCTGGCATCTTTTTGCATAGTAGGGTAACTATAGCAAATAACAACGTATCATATATTTCAAGATAGCTAAAAAAAGAGGATCCTGAAAGTTATTACCACAAAGAAAAGATAAAGGTTTGAGATGATGAATATGTTAATTACCTTGATTTGATCATTATACAATGTATACATATATTGAAACATCACAATGTACCCCATAAACATGTGCAATTATTATGTGTCAATTACAAAAAACTTTTTTAATTGGCAGAGGACTTGAATAGACATTTCTCCAAAGAAATGGCCAACAGGTATATGAAAACACACTCAACATCACTAATCATCAGAGAAATGCGCATCAAAACCACAATGAGATATACCTCACACCTTTCAGGATGGCCATTATCAAAAAGACAAAAGAAAACAAGGGTTGGCAAGGATGCAGAGAAATTGGAAGCCTTGTACACTGTTGGTGAGAATGTAAAACCTGCTATTTTAACTCCGCTTTCTAATACCAGGATCTTCAAGATTTGGAGACCTGAGGCTGAATCTGAGTTAAACATAAAGGTAACACAAGAAATAGGTTAAGAGTGAAACTCCTCAGAGAAGTTTCAACTGGCAGTCAAGGAAGACTATGCAGACAGTGGCCTCTTTCATTTGCTCATTCTTTCATTCAGCAAAAGATTATTGAGCTTCTAAGTACAAAACACCATCCTTATTGTGTGGGAAACAAGGCTGACACAATCCCTGCCTTTAGAAATGTGTAGTCTAGCAGATTCTTACTCTTTCTCCCAAGAAAAGATGAGGAGAAAGTGCCAGCCATGTGGGCCCGTGTCAGCCCAGGATCTGTGGGCTAGAGCCAGATATAACAGCAACTTAAGAAGGGCCGAAATGTCTCAAAATGTGCCCAAAGAAAAGAAGAAAAAATATGAGAAATTAAATTTGTCAACAGGTACAAGAAGCAAATACAAATGCCAAAATATGAGACAAAGACAAAGGTAAGGTAAATGCAGCCACGGAGCAAGAGTTAAGGACCAAGATGAGACTACGACAAAAATTACGAGGACTTTGGCCATCATCAGAACAGGATATCAGAGTTCTCTCATAATAAATGCATTTCCAATTGCTACAGGTGAATTCACCAAGGTAAAAGGCCTGGGATCAGGAAAAGCAGACAAGTAGGGTAAATCTACAAGCAAACAAATGAGAAATATTAAGTTTCATAAGAAAGAAGACTGCAGAAGAGACAGCATAACATAGCATTTAGCAGCACAAATACTGATGTCAATGTGTCTCAGTTAGACAACTGCACCAGTTATTTGCTGTGTAGCCTTGGGTGATATGACTTGGTTTTCCCATCTGTAAATTAGAAACAATTATATCTGACTTATAGAAGGCATTGTGAGGGTGAAATGAGTTGATTTATGTAAAGGGTTGAGTATAGTGCCGAGCACATAGTAAGCTAACTATAAGTGTTTGCTATTATGGGTTAAAGGCAAGAGTAATCAATTCCAGGTGTGAGAGCCAGGGAAGCAACTAGCATTTGAGTTCATTCTTAAATAATAGGTACAACTTAGACATACGTGAAGGGACTGTGTGGATAGGTGAGAATGGCATGAATGGTCAAGCTGTGTTTTGAGAAGAGAGAAAGAAAACAGAATGGTTGAAATACAGGGTCAGAATAATCAGAGATGGGACTTGAAAGGCAAGTTGCAGTGGGATAAGTTGAATGCTAAGCTAAGAAGTCCAAACCTTATTTAGAAAGCAATGGAAAATCCTTGCAGGAGTTTGAAATGGGATGATCAGAGCAGTAAGTGAATCTGGCAGCCCTTTGGCAAAGTACCAAGGTACGAAGCACATATACCCAGGTAAAGAAGAAGGATTAGGTACAAAAGGCATCGTTAAAGACTTGCAAATTGTGCAGTTATAAGAAAGTATCTTAGAAAAGAGGTGTAAATAAAACCTGTGAAACATATAACCTATCAACATACAAAATCAATACTGTATTTCCACTGTAACAACTAAGAATTTGAATCTCTTGTCATTCTATTTTTTATCTAGATGTCCATTTCTATGTAAATTTCTTTAAAACGCATTCACATTTCTTCAAAATATGATCCTAAACTGATCTCCAACCTTATCTATCTCCAGCCTGTATCTATCTCCACTCCATGCTATAGAAAAATTGCATTAATTATTGTTCCCAATCAGTGAAAATACATTGCAAATCATAAAGAACCATATAAACTTCCATGGTTTGTTTATTATTTAAATAGTTTGTATTTTCTTTACTTTAGGCCTTGGCTCACACAGTTTTCTCTACTGGAAGAGTCTTTCTATCTGCAACTGCCAAATTCCTATCTAAACTTCAAGGGCCAGCTGAAACACTGTCTTTTCCATGAAGCCTTCCTTGCCTCTTCAACAGGAAATGATCTCTCAAAGCACTTGTTATGTAACCCTCATATAGCTATAATTTAATGCAAAATGCAATAAATGCTAATTGTGAATGTCATAGCTATGCCATTACTAGTATGTTTTTTAATTTGAATAGTGCTTGAGAGTTTACAAAGGCATGTCTCACCAATATACAGAACCAAGTAATCCTTTTAAATACTTTGATACACAAGAAAAGAAAATTATTATTACCCTCATTCTTTACTGCTGATGAAAGATTACATGAATTACTCAATGTCACACAGTTGGAAGGTAGCAGCACCAAGACTTGAGCCCAGATCCAGGGAATTTCCTGTCACATCTTCTCCCACCCAAGAAGATCCCCTGATCCCAAACCTCTCAGACTGTGCCCATCATGAGCTTATGCTGGTCCAAGGAGCAGTATCTCCATGGTGTGCTGTCTTCCAGGGCAGAGGCACTGTGATTTTTACCTTTCAGTTTACAGATCACCATTACCCTATCTGCCTTTGCCAGACATGACCACAATCACAACACTCTTTCTACTTTCAGCCCATTAGTTACAGTGTCCCCGCAAGCAGCCAAGACCAAGTGATCAGAGTTGCAACCAAAATAAAGACTGTTGGCCATCCTGGATACAGGGATCATGGAGGTATCACAGTGTCCATCTCAGAACAGCAAAGGCTGGACCTGACTACTTCAGATTTAGTACAATTATCTTAGTACACTGCTCAGCAGGACATTGGACATTCTGTCCCAATTCTGTCCAGTGCAGGAAGGAGGAAAGAGGAAAGGAAAGGAGGGTGGAGAAAGGTCACTAGAACTTTGCATGATTTTGTAATATTCTGTGACTTTACTTAAGGGTCTTGCTTTTACCATCATTTATGTATAATGAATAGTTTGTCATTTTCCATGTTTCATTTTCTAGCTGCAGAGCTAGACCAAAAGGGACAACCTAGCAAAGGGAAAACAAATGATTGAGTGGTACGAGGCACTAGTTCATGAAGTATAACATTACTTTCTGCCAAATCCTTTCCCTTGTCAAATTTTTGCCAGAATCAATTGGTTATTTTTGGAATTATTAAACATAGTACTGAATCAAGCAAATTATGCTACAAATAATACTTTGCAGAGAAAGAAAATAATAGATGATTAATGCTTCAATGCAGTCTTCTTAGAATAGTGTTTTCTAATGAATTACATGATCTAGATATTTAGAAAACTGTCTTCCTACCAAGGAATGCTCCTTTATGAACTTAAAAAAATCAGAATGATGCCTTACACAAATAGTATTAATTCTTGGTTTTTAAATAAGCATTTTTCATTTAAGTAACAAATGTGTAGGAAGAATATTCAGTCATCTAATTTCATATTTTCAGGACTTTACTTCCTCTGATTTTCTTAAATCATTACAGAAAATTCAGTGTTTTTCATCACATCTTTATTTTAATCTTTATTGCTTTTCTGATTATAATGCTATGCTGATTATAAGAATAATGCTATACTGTACTACTATAAAAATTCATATATTTCAGAAAAGCATTATACAGAAAGCAAAGAATCCTGCAATTAGCCAGAATTGCTACTCTTCTAGCAATCTCTGAGCACAGCTTCAAATTTTCTCAATCTATTAACCTTTTGACCTCTCTTTCTTCAAGATCAGCCCAGCCCCAGTTCCTTCCGCCACAATACAGCCCTGACTTTCCAGCCTACGTGCAGTGAAACACCCATAATTTTTTAAATGTACTTTGGTCCTTCAGTCGCTTTAAGCCCTGCAATTTTTCTCTTTTCTTTCTTATCTAAACATCTCAAGAGCAAGGTATATTCATTTCTCAGATCACTGAAATCTGGCTTCTTTCCCTTCTACTCAACAGAAACCATGAGGTTCTAATGTCCCAATGTAATGAATACATTTTTCTAAGAAATCTTTTCTCTAACTTTAACACTGCTGTGTCTCCTTCCTCAAAATACTTATCTCGTTGGTTTGATTACGGTTCTCTGTCCTGCTTTTCTTCCTACGTCTCTGATAATAGTTTGCTGAGTTCATTTATTATTCCTTCTCCCTTTGTTTGTCCTTTATATCTTGGTGCCTTGTGTTTGGCCCACTCTCCTCCCCACTCTACATGCACTATCTCCTCTGAGTTAGCTATTGATTTCATGGTTTCTACAACCACCTATTTCAGACTGATAACTATAAATCTTATTCATCTCCAGCCCTTAATGGTATCATTAGGCTCCATACTCATGCAGGTACCTGTATTTCCCAAAGACATCTCAAAATCAACATTGTCCAGAGTGAATTCGTCATGTCCTCCCCCTTTTCCTAACCTGAGACCCCCTCCTGCTGTATTGACATCACCCATCTCATTACCCAAGTGAGAAACCAGGCAGTCATGTGTTACTTTTTCTTCTTCTCTATTCTTCTTACAAACGTAACCATCAATACACATTTTGACTCCGTTCCTTTGTTTTTAATTTAGGCCCCGTTTCTCTTTGCAACTTGTAAGAATAATTTTCTTGAGTCTCATCTATCAAAGTCCAGATACTGATTTTCTTTGTAGAGAAAGGAGGAAATAAAAATAATTGGATTATGGTAATATTTTAATTCTTAATCTGAATAGTGCTTAACTAGGAGCATTCACTTTATGATCATTTGTCCAGCTGTATATTTACAATTTTTACAAACTTTGATGTATGTGTTACACGTCAATAAAAATTCCCTTTAAAAAAAAACAGGACATCTATAACTAAATAGAAAATAGTATTATGTACAATTGAAAAAGGGTTATAACTATAAAGCAATATTTTAAAGAAACAATTTGGAGAAACTAGGTGTCTCAGCATAGATGCCTTAAAAAGCTATTACAACTAAATTACTGGAGAACTACCAACCACAAATAAGTATCCAACACAAACATATTATTACTATCTCAAAGAATTCATGCAGAAATTTTACTTAGATACAATCAAAAAGCTACTTGTTCCATAAAATATGCTCTAGCTTTCAAAGAAAGGTGAAAACAAAGATGATTCTCAGTTGTTTTTTCCAGCTGACATCACCAGAAAGTTCCTTTTCAATTTCATTTGTTTTAGAGGCAGCTGCAGGCTTTTCCTGGACCATGCATTAGCTAACTGTCCCTTTACAAACTTTTTCACTGTCTATGCATACCTAGAAGACCTTCAGGGTTTTTTATCCTTATGTTCTGATGCAGAGTAGGACTACACAGACAAATATGTGCCTTTCAAAAAGGCCGGAAAATATTTCAACAGCTTCCAGGTGTCTTTCCAGGTCAGGAAAGAGTTTATATTAAGAGGCTTTTATCTTTAAAAATAGGAAACAGGTTAACTATCAACTTTAGGTCAATGTTAGATGATCTAACTGAGAGGTTAAAATGGTATCCAAATGTCCTTGCCATAGTTTGCTGAGAATGATGGTTTCCAGCTTCATCCATGTCCCTACAAAGGACACTAAAACTTAAAGTATAATAAAAAAAAATGGTATCCAAATGGGCCACCTTCAGCTTGTGGTCCAGCAGGAATAGCAGAAGGAATATGAGTTGAGTAGATGAAGTTTGGTATCCACCTCATGGTCATCTATTGCCTCTATCTGTAGTTAAAAAGTGCAGCAGCCAACAGCACCCATACCTCACCACCATGCTTCCTCACATACAGGTACCACATGGGTTCTTTTCACAGCTATTGTAGGGTGGCCTCAGCCAGTGACAATAAGCAGAGAGCCCATAGGTGCTTTTCCTCCCAGAGAGGGGCAAGTTCTCCACTCTGTCACCTCCTACAATCAACATTTAACATATTAAGTCATATATTCCAAGACACAATATCTCTGGCCTCACAGAATTCTTAGCCTAGATGGAAACTCTGATATTTTTAAACTCCATTATTCTACAATTCTAGTAAATGGGCCTTTGCTTTGTTCCCCTAGTTGTGAGCTTCCACTTCAGTAAACCACTTAGACCCACAGTTCCTGTAGAAATGGGGTTTCTCTGGCTTGCTCTTGTCAGCTTCCTTTCAGGAACCACGATCTGCCCCTTAATCCCTGTCAGGCATTGCTGAAACATTTCAAGCCAATTTCTTGTCTATTAGTCTGACTTTCTGGCTGCCTATTTGTCTACCCACCTGGAATTTCAGATGATTCATTTTTTTCCCCAATGATGCATTTAGAATTGTTTATCATCTTGGATTGAACTCCCACCCTCACCTTTATATCAAATGCTTCCTGACACAGAGACTGATCTGGAAGAGGGGACTTCTCCAAAGCTCCAGCAATTTTGTCTAATGTTTCTGTAATGAAAAAATACTGACAGAGCCCCAAATTGTTCCCACCTTCTGGTAACCATACCTATGTATAATTCCTCCTCTTCAGTATGAGTGAAAACTACTACTTGCTTCTAATCAATAGAATATGACAAAAGTGATGGGATCCATTTCTGTGATTAGGTTACATAGAATCTTATGTTCCATCTTGCTAGCAGACTCTTATCATTGACTCTGTCTCTTGCTAGCTTTGATGTAGTGAAATTGCATATGGAGAGATCCATATGGCAAGAAACTAAAAGTGACCTCAGGCAAATAACCTGATAGAAACCAAAACTCACAGTCCAACATCCCACAAAGAACCAATCTTGCCAACAATCATGCGAGCTTAGAAGTGGATCCTTCCTCAGTTAAGCCCCAAATGAGACTCCAGCCCTGGTTGACACTTTGACTGTAGTCCTGCAAGAAACCCTATGATAGAAGACCCAGCCAAACCATGCCTAGACTCCTGAGTCACAGAAACTGTGAGCTAATAAATGTGTTATTTTAAGCCACTAAGTCTATGGTAATATGTTATACAGCAGATCATTAATATAGTTTCCAATGTCTGCCCCACTCCCAAATGGTAACCGAAGTTAAGTGGGTCAATTCCAGACCAGTCTCAAATTGTCACATTTTTAATAACAAGCCTCTAACTTGATAGGTATTTGAAGACAAAGAAAGAGCAATATGTTTACAGAGATCAATTTCTAGTGCTATTAATTTCAGCCATTTTTGAGTGTCTGAGGAGAGTTGGTAAACAGTTAGTAAATGTCTAACAATATCTTTTATTTTATTTGGCAGAAGCATTGTTCATTTTCCTATCCTGTGACAGACTATATTTTCAGAAGATGGCCACACCAATATCCTTTGTCCTACATACTCTCATGCAATGTGACCTTGCCACTATTCCATCAAATATGGAGTTTAATTCCCCTCCTCTTGGATTTGGGCCAGGTTTGATGACATGTTTATAACCAATAAAATGTGTAGAAGTGATGCTGCATTTTTGAGGCTAGATCAGAAGAGGCTGCCCAGCTCCCACTTACTCCTTCTCAGAACCCAGTTATCACACTGTGAGAAGCTGAAGCCATATGGAGAAGCCAGTTGCAGGAGCTCCAGATAACAGGTGTAGCTGAGCCCAGCCTTCAGGTCAGGTACCAAATTCATGAATGAAGAAGCCCCCCAGTGGTTCCCCAGCAGTGTGGATCACTCCAACAATTTGAGCTTTCCCAAGTGAAACTGCAAGCATCATGGAGCAGAGACAAGGTATGTGCGTGTGTGTGTGTATGTGTGTGTGTGTGTGTGTGTGTGTGTGTGTGTCAAACTGGGCTAGAATCTGGTACCCAGTTCAATTAAACACTAATATAGATGTTGCTGTGAAGGTAACTTTATAGATTGGATTAACATCACATCTATAATCAGGTGACTATATGTAAAGATTGTCTGGATAACCTAGGCTAGCCTTATTCAATTGGTTAAAAGGCTTTACAAACAGAGCTGAGGTTTTCCAAAAAAAGAAGAAATTCTACCTGTGGATGGAAGTGTCAGCTGCTAACCTCGTTTCCAGTCTAGTCTTTCTGTTGGCCTGCCATAAAATACCATAAACAATAAACAAATGGTTATTTTTTATACCACTAAGATTGAATTGTTTGTTATACAGCAATAGATAACCAGAACATTTCCTGTTACTTGGTCATTTTCTAAGGAATTCTCTAAATCACTGGAAAATACTGCTTGTATGTATTTTGCATCCCTCTCATACTTAAGGCAAAATAAAGGAAGATGTAGAGTACTGCTTCTGAATCCAAATACACTTTCATTCATTACACCATTGAGCTCTAAATCAAACACTCCTCTGTGTCTTTAGTCAAGACTATATTAAAAATATACACAACAAAATGCTTCCTAACCTATTCTTAGAGAAGGGAACTACATTTGTAACCTGGATTTTCCCTTGCTGCATCAACGTACCAGACTCACACAAATAATAACAATGATATCAAATTAATGATAATAAACAGTACCTCTCCAGATGCAGCTCCACCATTTTTTAGAGCCTCCATTCTCTAAAAGCTCTCCTTCTCTATCTTCAAATTTTTCTGTGTGCCCTTTTGAGGTTTCTCTTAAATGAGCAGGCAAAAAACCATCTTCTCCACTTCTGCTTGGTGCCCCCTCATTCTTTCTCCACACTTCTTCAGCCCCCATTTGGAGTGTCCAGTGTTGAACCTGCCACTGACTTGCGAAGTCTTGTAAGGGAGGTACCCTAGTACACCATCAGCGTCTGCTGTCCGTGGTGCTGATATCTGTGCCAAGGGCACTATAACCTAATGACAAAAAGCACTGCCTCATACTACTGATAAAAACCACTGGCCCCAGACATCAGAGCCAGAGCTTCATTCTGGATTTTGCCAGATGCTCCCATAAAAGATATTGACTATTCTCATGGTTCTGGGGGCAGGGTTTGGTTGAAGCTGCAAGTGTTATTAATATGTTGGTGCCCTAAATATACCAAAGTTCCATAGTCTCTGTACTCACCTTTTTAATCCCTTCATTTTTTTTTTGTACCATGCTTCTTTAACCAGAACGAATACAGTTTGCTTACTGATCTTGCTGTGTTACTAAGTTTTTGGTGAAAATGGGTTCTTCCCATTTTCATCTTTAGCCCTCAGTTTCCTAGAGATAAATTCATGAGCATTATGCCGAAAAGCAAATCTCAATAGCAGACAATATGTTGTATTTAAAATTGGCTCCCACTTCTAATTATCCAGCTTGCCTGTTAATTGTCTGTTCTCTTGAAATAAGCTCATTCTGGAGAGTTTTCTCAGGCCTTCTTCCTGACAGACCATGAGTGAACCTGCCCTGATGTCTCTCATTCTAAGATAAGCAAGACTCAGGCTGTATTTGAAAATCCCCACTATACCACATTTCTTTAAAAACCTAGTTTAGTTGAGAGAATGAGTTCTTGTTTCATCCTGACAAGCAAAGAATCCAGGTCCTCAATTTTAATTAAAACATCTTATTGTGGCCAAGCATGGTGGCTCACACCTGTAATCCCAGCACTTTGGGAGGCCTAGGCAGGTGGATTGCTTGAGCTCAGGAGTTTGAGACCAGCCTGGGCAACCTGGTGAAACCCCGTCTCTACAAAAAAAAAATACAATAACAATTAGCCAGGTGTGGTGGCACATTCCTGTAGTCCCAGCTACTCAGGAGGCTGAGATGGGAAGATCGCTTGAGCCCAGGAGGTGGAGGCTGTGGTGAGCCCAGATTGTGCCACTGCACTCCATCCTAGGCAACAGAGGGAGACCCCTGTCTCAAAAAAAATCTTATTTTGGTTTGTTTGCTTATTTGGATTTGCTAATCCTAATCTTGTAAAGAGTATAGTAGTTAAATGATAGTCTTTGGAACAAGTCTATCTGGGTTCATCCTAGTTCCACCAATTATTAGCTATGAGACATTGGAAAAGTTACTTATCACTCTGTGCTTCCCTATTTCTAGCTATAAGATGAATTTAGTGATAGTATATATAGCCTAGGATTTTAGTGAAGATTATTTCACATTAATAAGCAGCATAGGCATATAAACTCATCAACACAGCGATTGGTATAAGATAAGCATTGCATATGGATTTGCTAATATTATTAAACAACTGTTTAGTTGCTGTAACCTTATCAGTTATCACCCATGCAAAGAGCTTCTCATTTAGTGGCACTAGATGAGTAATAATTGATGTGGTCTGGGCATGTGCCAAGTATTATATTTACTTAACACTTCTGTGAAATCTGAATTGGAGAAATAGGATATATAAAGGAAACTGTGCAAATATTTGTACTTATTTGTAATACGGCATTTAATTCCAGCACATGCTACAGTTGTAAGAGTATGTTGCTTGGGAGCTAGTTTGCAAGCAAATGTGTTTATTGGCCTATAGACATCTTTCCTGTGTAAATGCAGCCATGCATTTTAACCAGCAGCTGGCACAGATATATGATATTTATAAATTATATATATATATGTAGCTCATATACAAGGTCCTGTGTGTCAAGCAATATAATTTAATTATATTCTATCAACAAAATGGCAAATTTATACCTATTTCAACCAAAAAAATTCTACCAACAAATATAGAATATTCACTGCTAATTTGTATATTTTCCTTATTCATTAGCTAAAAATACTGGGCACCACTAAATAATGAATTAACAAAATAAAAAAATAAGGTACAAGTGAAAATTTAGATTCGTACACACACAAAAATCTATGCATGGATATTCACAGCAGTTTTACTCCTAATAGCCAGAAATTAACTCCTAGTAGCCAAATGCTCTTCAACAAGTGAAGAGATAAACAAACTATGGTACTTAGTACTATATTTGGTCTTTCCAAATCATGAAATACTACTCAGCAATAAAAAGAAATGAACTGTTGATAAATGCAACAACTTGGATGAATCTCAAGGGAATTGTTCTGAATGAAAAACAGTCCATCTCAAATTATATACCATATGATTCCATTTATATAACATTTTTCAAATGACAAAATTAGAGAAAGGAAATTGATTGGTGGTTGCTAGAGGCTGAGGGAAGGAGAGAAATGGATATGACTATAAAAGAGTATCATAAGGAACCCTTGTGATGGAACTGCTCTGTATCTTGGCTCTCGAGCTTTATAATCCACACATATAAAAAATGCATAGAACTAGATAATAAATGAGTGCATGTAAACTTGATAAAATCTAAATAAGGTTGATGGAGTTTATCAATAGCAATTTCCCAGCTGTGATACTACGCTATAGTTATATAAGATGTTGCCATTAGAAGAAACTGGATAAAAGGCATATGGAAACTCTCTGTATTATTTCTTAAGACTGCACATGAATCAACAATTATTTCAAGACAAAAATTTTATGAAAAAGTGTACCTAAGAACTTTCATTAAGGTATTATATAAAACATCAACTTAAAAATTGGAAATCTAAAAGTGGTTTTATTTCATTACCTTTCAACTCACAATATCTGCTATTTTAAAAGCAGCAATTCCATCATTCTGATTCTATAAATGTTCACTCACTGCTTACTGAGCTCTAGGCACAATAGAAGACATTTCAGCGAAGAAAATATTATATGACCTTTAAAGATATTCTTGTGGTAGGTACTATGATCCCTACTTTACAAATGAAAAAGCAGATTTAGTGCCATTAAGGAATTTGCCCAAAACCTCATATCCATTACATAGCAGGTCTGGCATTTGCTCCCAGCCCAGTGTTTTTTCCAGTCCTTTATCAGTGCAGCCTCTGTTCTTCATAAATCAAAATACCAGATAATTAGAATAAATTTGGGAACTTAAATGACAGGTTTTGTGTTTACTTTTCCAACACAATAAGGGGTTCACCAATTCCTTGTAAATAACCAGTGAAAGAGAAGTTCTTGCTTCTGCATGAACCCTAAGGGACAGGGCCCCGCTCTGGTGCACAGGAATTTGAGCGAGGCTAGTGATGGTGGTAGGTGAGGGCAGTGGCAACACTATAGGAAAACTGAGCTTTGGTCAGGAGGTGAGACTGCTCTTTTTGTCACAAGCTTCTCAGTTGAAAGACGCCCTAATACCTAACTCAGCCCCATCTGCTTTTCCCGGACAGAGCCATTGGCAGGAATCCAATCCAAGCACATCGCATTGTACCTTGGGGACTTACTAACATTTCATCTCTTGAGGGAGAATGCCTCAACTGTGAGGCCACCCGGGGAAAACCTTACATAGGCTATCTGGAATGGGGAGTTGGGTAGTTAGTTTAACTTCCTTCATTGTCCATAATACTAAACACTTGGATTCTTAAACATCTTTAGTTCCCAGGAGCAAGCACTGCTCTTTCACTGGTCATTTACCTCTAAGATTCAGCCAGAGAAGTGAGAGCCTAACCATCATTGAATGAATTGATCCAAAATGAAAACCTGGAGGCCAATAAGCTAATAAAAATCATGAAAATTTGCTGATAACGTTTTTAAAGTTCAAATGCCTGTATTCTCTTGAAAACGCTGCACACAGCCAGAAAGGGCAAGAGCTAAGTGGCAGATATCCCCTTGCAGAAAGTCAGTCACTCTTTAGTTCTTAATTCCAGCAGGGCCTGCTTGACCCAGGTGAGTTACTGGCGGTCCCCAGAAGGCCTTCCAGTTAGCCAACTTTGACTTGGGGAGGTAAGTCTGATCATTCTTAATAAATGACACCTGTGAAAATAACCTGTGTCTCAGAGACTTTCCAGAGGCATCAAGCTCACTATTCAACAGTGTACAGAATGCATTTCCTCAGCCTTTGTGAAAATTCATATTATACCTTAGACTTTAGGGGCAGGGGAGGTAGCATAATAGCAAAAAGCTCTAATAAGGAAATTTGTTCAAAGGAGTTAGAAATTTTTTAAAAACAAGCTACGTATATTTACTGACCACTTACTACGGGCAGTAGTGGCTGTGGTTTAAAAAAAAAAAAAAAGTAAAGTACAAGCATAGTAAAGCACAAGTGCATTTTGTTGTTGTTGTTGTTGTTGCTTCTCAGGCTTTTCTAATGTTTGTTTAGCTTCCCAGACCCCTTGTCCTCCTGGGTCTACAAACTTATTTTAACAAGCACTCTGGGGAATTTTTATCCTCAGGGAGCTTGGTAAATATTGCATTATCTTATTTTATCTTACCACATTCCTATAAAGACAGATACTATTCCTGAAAGGAAAACACAATTTAGATTAGCTTATTTGCCAAGGTCTCTGTCTTAGTTCTTTTGTGCTGCTATAACAGAATACCTGTGACTGTGTAATTTATAAAGAACAGAAATTACTTCTTACAGTTCTGGAGGCTGGAAGTCCAAGACCAAGGTGCCAGTATTTGGTGTGATGAGGACCTTCTTGTTGTGTTCCTAGAAGGCAGAAGACAGAAGGGCAAGCTAGCCAAATACTGGCTGGCTATGTAATGCCTCCAGGGCCTTAATCCCATTAATGATGGAGGAGCCCTCAGGGCTGAATCACCTCTTACAGGCTGCACTTCTTAATGCCATCACATTGGCAACACCTGAATTTTGGAGGGAACACATTCAAACCACGGCAGGCACACTGCTATTGAATTGGTGTGAATCAAGAGTGCACCTAGATCAGGTATTCACAAACTATGGCTCACAGACCTAATCCAGCCCACTGCCTATTTTTTGTTTGTTTGTTTGTTTTCTGAGATGGAGTCTTGCTCTGTCTTTCCCAGGCTGGAGTGCATTGGCATGACCTCAGCTCACTGCAGTCTCCGTCTCCCAGGTTTCAGCGATTCTCCTGTCTCAGGCTCCTGAGTAGCTGGGACTACAGGCATGTGCCACCGTACCTGGCTAATTTTTGTATTTTTAGTAGAGACAGGGTTTCACCATGTTCCCCAAGCTTGTCTCAAACTTCTGACCTCAGGTGACCCACCTGCCTCAGCCATCCAAAGTGCTGGGATTACAAGCGTGAGCCACCATGCCCAGCCTGTTTCTGTTTTGTATTTAGATAAAATATACAGAACAAAAAATTTACCACTTTAGCCATTTTTCAGTTGTAATTCAGTGGCATTTAGTACATTCACATTGTTGTGCCACCATCACCACAAGTCACCTCCAGAATTTTTTCACCATTTCAAACTGAAACTCCAAAACTATTAAACAATGACTCCCCATTCTCTCTTTCACCCAATTTCTAAAACCTACCATTCTATTTTCTTTCTTTCTTTTTTTTTTTTTTTGTGATGGAGTTTCGCTCTTGTTGCCCAGGCTAGAGTGCAATGGCGCAATCTCGGCTCACCACAACCCCCGCCTCCCAGGTTCAAGAAATTCGTCTGCCTCAGCCTCTCAAGTAGCTGAGATTACAGGCATGTGCCACCACGCCTGTATTTTTAGTAGTGACGGGGTTTCTCCATGTTGGTCAGGCTGGTCTCGAACTCCTGACCTCAGATGATCCACCACCTCAGCCTCCCAAAGTGCTGGGATTACAGGCATGTGCCACTGTGCCCGGCCTATATTTTCTGTCTGTATGATTTTTGACTAATCTAGGTACCTCATATAAATTGAATAATACAATATTCATCTTTTTGTGACTGGCTTATTTCACTTAGCATAATGTCTCCCAGATCTATGCATGTTATAGCATGTGTCAGAATTTGCTGCCTTTTTAAGGCTAATAATATTCCATTGTATGTAGTATATGCCATTATTTTTTATCCATTCATCTGTCACTAGACACTTTTATTGCTTCCACCTTTCGGCTATTGTGAACAATGCTGTTATAAATATGGGTGTATAAAAATCCATTCAAGTCCCTGCTTTTAATACACAGAAGTAGGATGCCTGGATCATATCGTAATTGCATTTTTAATTTTTTGAGGAACTGCCATATTATTTTCCATAGCAGCTTCACCATTTTACATTCCCACTACAAATGCACAAGGGTTCCAATTTTTCCATATCCTTGTCAATACTTGTTATTCTCTGGTTTTTTAGTCATCCTAATCATATGAGGTGGTATCTCATTGTGGTTTTGGTTTGCAGTTCCCTGCTTTTAGTGATATTGGGCATTTTTCATGTGCTTATTGTTCATTTGTATATCTTCTTTGGAGAAATATCTACTCAAGCCGTTTGTCTATTTTTTAAATTGGGTTGTTTGTTTCTTGTTGCTAAATTGTAGGAATTCTTCATTTATTCTGGATATTAATCCCTTATCAGATATATGATTTGCAAATATTTCCTCTGTGACTTTTCACTCTGTTGAGAATGTTACTTAATGCACAGAAGTTTTTACTTCGATGAAATCTATGTGTTTTTTTTTCTTTCATTGTCCATGCTTTTGGTATCATATCCAAGACACCACTGTAAAGTTCAATGTCATGAAGCATTTCCCTTATGTTTTCTTCTAAAGGTTTTAGAGTTTTAGCTCTCAGGTTTAGGTCTTTTATTCTCTTTGAATGAATTTTTTGTATATAGTATAGGCAAAAATTTCTTGCTGCCCAGGGAACACTGATTTTTAAATTAAAAATGTGAGTCTTTAGCATTGCCCCTCTTTCAGCTGCCATAACTGGCTCTTCTGTGATTTTCTCCCCCTCTAAGTATGTTGTGTTTAATAGAACTTACATTTTCAACCTTTTTCCTGATGTATTCTCTCTGACATTATTTCAACTTTGTCTTTTTTCCAAAGAATTTTTATTGCCAGTAGCCCCAGAGTTTACACCAAATCAATCAACCCATTAAAACTCTGCAAAATTAACACCTATAATTCTACTTTGTTTTTATTGAAATAAAAATGGGGCTGGTTTTGTCCTCTATCTTCAATCCCTTCTTGGGGAATCAGCCCTGCCCGCTCTTGTCAGATTAAGGTACTGGAAACAAAGATAGGATGTTAGTGAAGACATACTTATTTTGGAGGCAGTGGGGAAGTTATGATTCACATACCACACAATTCAACGATTTAAAGAGTATAATTCAATAACTTTTAATATAGTCACAAAGTTGTGCATCTGTCAGCACAACTAATTTCAGAAGATTTCTGTCACCCCCCCCCAAAAAAGAACAAACCCCGTAGCTCTTGTCTCTGACCCTTCCATGCCCCCTAAGCCCTGGGAAGCCACTAATCTACTTTCTTTTTTCTTTTTTTTTTCTTTTCTTTTTTTTTTTTTTTTTTTTTTTTAAGACAGGATCTTACTCTTTTACCCAGGCTGGAGTGCAGTGGCACAATCATTGCTCACTGCAGCCTTAAACCCCTGGGCTCAAGCAGTTCTCCCACCTCAGCCTCCCAAGTAGCTGAGACTACAGGAAAGTGCCACCATGTCCAGCTTTTTTTCTTTTTAGAGGTAGGAATCTTGCTTTTTGCCCAGGCTGGTCTTGAACTATTGGCTTCAAGGGATCCTCCCACCACAGCCTCCCAAAGTGCTGGGATCACAGGTGTGAGCCACTGTGCCTGGCCTACTTTCTATCTTTATAGATTTACCTATTCTGCACATTTCATGTAAATGGAATCATACGATATGTATTCCTTTGTGACTGGCTTCTTTCACTTAGCACAGTGTTTTCAAGGTTCAACCATGTTGTACCATGTAGAAGTAAATTTCTTGTAATCACCAAATAATGTTTCATTGTATTGATATACCACATTTTACTTATCCATTAATCAGTTGATAGACTTTTGGGCCATTATGAATATGCTGCTATAAATATTTGAATATAAGTTTTTATGCAGACTTATGTTTTCATTTCTCTTTGTTATATACGTAAGAGTAGAAATGCTGGATCGTATGGTAAGTATGTTGAACCATTTGAGGAACTGCCAGCCTGTTTTCCAAAGTGGCTGTATTATTTTGCATTCCCACCAGTGATCTAAGAGGGTTTCAATTTTTCAACATTCTTGAAAATACTTACTGTCTTTTTTATTCTAGCCATCCTAGTGGGTGTGAAGTGGTAATTTATTGTGAGCTGAGTCACATTTTTGATAGCATCAACTAAGTCTTGTGGGATACTGAAGCCCTCTGCACACCTGATTCTCAGTGAGTTCAAGTCTAAGTCCCCAGGCTCCCTCCTGCTCCCCAGACCTCATTGCTCTTTTTCTACAATGACTGCTGTACTCCAATCCCTCCCAGCCCCTGGTCCTGCTTGAAGAAGGCCCTTATCTACATGACTCCAAAGATCTACATCTGAGTGTCAGACCCTCCTACAATAAGCTTGCAGATTTTGTGTCAGCTTCCAGGAGCTTACTGAAATCTCTGAAATTCTATGCGCCCCTGGAGCATTTGTTGATGCTCATTCCATTTCATTGAACTACATTTATCAGGTAATAGTTAAAATTAAGAAATCTGAGCTTTTTTTGCTCTTTGCTTTCCCACTTTAGGTTGCCTTCTGGGCCTTCACTTACCAATGGTCCTAGGGCACCAAAGGAGGTTGACATGTCGCCATGGATCCATCTACTTCAAATGCTATTTATTAGAATTCTCTCTCTCTCTATGACAAAGATAATGCCCCATGTGGGCGTTTTTACTAAGATCCTTTCTCTAACACAAGAGATATTTCTTGTTCTCACTGATTTGCACAGCAAGGATGACTGATGTTTCCAGAACTGAATATATGACCAAGTCCTTTCTGACTCAGAATAACCATCTCTTTGTTCATCCCTGAATTCTCTCTAGTAACCCACACTGTTGCCTTAACCCCATAGGGACTTTTTTCTGGAAGGGTGATTAACCTCAAATATTATAGTGTTTCCAAACCAAAGTGTCTTTAAGACTGGTAATTTTTCTTCAAGGAAAGAGCAGGATGGTCCCTAAAAAAGATTCTTAGGCCAATTTATTTATACTTTTAAGTCCCTTTGGCTGATTTTCGTGGTCTAAAATTGTAATTTAGGTATCAAATTATTTCAGTGTTTGCTACTTCTGGATTAAAGGTTTATCTCTAAATTCATGGTTTCTCTTACAATTTAGTAGCATGTATTGTTTAACATTGAAATTTTTTCAAGATGTTTCTTCCAAGTGGAAAAAGAAATGAATTCATTATCTGAATTTTTTGATGTTGGGAAATGCAAATAAAAGCAACAATCAACAAACAAGCAGTTGTTTTCTTTACAATTACTACACAGCTATTACAATGGCTAAAATCCAAAACCTTAACAGCATCAAATGCTGGCAAGAATATGGAGAAACAGGAACTTTCATTCACTGCTGGTGAGAATGCAAATGGCACAGACACTTTGGAAGACAGTTTGGTGGTTTCTTACAAAGCTAAATATACCCTTGCCATATGATCCAGTAATCACATTCGTTGGTATTTACCCAAAGAAATTGGAACCATGTCCCTACAAATACCTACACATGGATGTTTAAAACAGCTTTATTTATAATTGCCAAAACTTAGAAACAACTGAGGCATCCTTAAGTAGGTGAATCGGTAGATAAACTGTAATTTGTCCAGACAATGGAATATTATTCAGTGCCAAAAGCAGTTAGCTATCATGCCATGAAAAGACATTGAAGGAAACTTAAATGCATATTACTAAGTAAGAGAAACCAATCTGAAAAGGCTACATACTGTATAATTCCCATTAAATGACATTCTGGGAAAGGCAAAACTATGAAGACAGTAAAAAGAGCAGTGGTTTACAGTGAGTAGCAGTAAGAAAACAATAAGTGGGCAGAGCACAGAATATTTTGAGGGCAATGAAACTACTGTGTATGATATTATAGTAGTGAGTACATGTTAATATAAATTGGTCTGAAACTATAGAATGTATAACACCAAGAGTGAACCACGTAAACTGTGGGCCATGTAAACTATGGAGTCTGGATGAAATGATGCATCATGCAGGTTTATCAGTTATAACACAGGTCCCACTCTGGTGGCAGAGGTTAATATGGGGAGAGGCTACATATGTGTGAGGGCAGAGAGTATTGGGGAATCTCTGTACCTTGCACCCAATGTCGCTGTGAAACTAAAACTACTCAAATAATAAAGTCTAATTAAAAAGTTATTACCTTTATAATATTGGTAGCAATGCCCTTGATGTTTAGTATATTATTCTAAGCCAGAATATAATTTTTATAAATAGCTCCTGTCATTTTTTACACCTCTCCTTATCCCACATTTGATTTATTGATGAGTTTTATTCATTCTGCTTCCACAATACATCCTGGGATTTTCCCCTTCCGTTCATTTAGACTGTCATCCCTGTGGGAAAGTCTACTACCATCATCTATCAACTAGGCAATGTATTAAAGTTCTTTCTCTTCATTGTTCTCCCTGATTCCTTTTGTCTCCCTTCAATCCACCCTCCATACAACAGTCTGAGGCTCCTGTCATTCCTCAACTAAAACTCAAAGGCGTCCCCTGTCCTTACAATAAAAATCCAATGCCCTTAACATGACTAAGGTGTAAGAAGCCCTGTGCTGATCTAGCTTCTCAAAACTTATTCTAACCCATGACCACTCTCCTCTTTATTTCCAAAGCTACACTCATATCAGCCTCCTCTAGGTTCCTCATATTAATACTTGCCACATCCTTTCACTAGGGTCTCTGTAAGTGTTGTTTCCTGGGCCTGGCATGGCCTTCTCATTTTCTTCTCTTGAAATTGCCAGCTCAAGTCCCTGCTCAAATGTCACTACCTCAGAGAGACTTTCCTAACCAGATAACCTAAAACTGGTTCACTGCCAGCCCCTGGTTCTCTCTCATAGCATCCTACTTTTTTTTCAAAGATCTTTCACAATCTGAAATTTCATCTTTATCAGTATTTACTTCTTTTCCCTCCATTATATAAGTTCTAATAAGGCAAGGACTAGTTTTGTTTTGATCCACTTTATAACAGTACCTAGCACATTGTAGACCCTCATAAAAACATGAATGAATGAAAGGACAAATGAAAAAAAAATCAGTGCTCAAAGATGTAGTAGTCCCTCCTTACCTGTGGTTTCACTTTTTCCAGTCTCAGTTACCCACAGTCAACTGCAGTACAAAAATATTACATAGAAAATTCTAGAAAGAAAAATTCATGAGTTTAAAATTGTGTGCTATTCTGAGTAGTATGATGAAATCTCAGGCCATCCTGCTCTGTCTCATGTAGGGACGTGAATCATTCCTTTGTCCAGCATATCCTTGCTGCCTAATCAACCAGACTGTTAGTCACTGAGCAGCCGCCTCAGTTATTAGGTTAACTGTTGTGGTATGTCAGTGCTTGTGTTCAAATAATCTTTATTTGACTTCATAATGGCCCCAAAGCGCAAAAGTAGTGATACTGGCAACTCGGATATGCCAAAGAGAAGCTGCAAAGTGCTTCCTTTAAGTGAAAAGGTGAAAGCCCTTGACTTAATAAGTAAAGAAAAAAATCATACACTGAGGTTGCTGAGATCTATGGTAAGAACAAATCTGTCAAACTGTGAAGAAGGAAAAAGAAATTCATGCTAGTTTTGCTGTCCTACCTCAAACTGCAAAAATTATATCCACAGTGCATAAGTGCTTAGGCAAAATAGAAAAGGCATTAAATCTGTAGGTAGAAGACATAAACAGAAATTTGTTCCAATTGACAGCAATCTGGTTCACTACTATCCACAATTTCAGGCATCTTGGAACATATCCCCTACAGATAACGAGGGACTACTGTATACAACATTTGTTCAAAGTAGGAGCTAATCCTGTTCTAAGTCAGAAATAAAACCATAATTCCTTCTGTTTTCATCCAGCTCTTGAGCCATTGTATTATACTTTTCCTCAAGGAGCATAAAGGATTGTTTTTCTGGTTATACATAGAGTAGAATGGCAGAAACTAAGGACTTTCAGAATTCAAACCCCTAATTCAAAACTGCCACATTCCATGACTAATGTGAACCATAGGCTATCACTAATATAGATTAAACTATTGTGAATATGACTATTATTCTTAATCAATAATTATTGACAACTATATTCAAAACTGGAAGACCCAGAGAATAGTTGCTACTTCAGTGGATTTTTCACTGAATCATAACTTCAATATAATACCTTATTTTACTGTTAAATCTAAATTAATGAATGTTATCATGAATTAATATGAGCAACTTTTATCATAATATCATATATATTTGTTTTGATGACTCTGTGTACTGTTTCATTTTTACCCACTAGCTTTCCAGTTATCTTCTGTTTAAATTTGAGCAACTTTGAAAACGAATGAAGTTTATAAGCTCTACTGAGAATGTAAAACATTGCATGCTAAATTTGTTTGAAGTTTTTCTATTTTATATCACTTATTAGTCACAGACTGCACAACTTGGAAAGATTAAAAGTCTAAAAAGTATTTGAATTCTACAGACTCCTTTTGTTTCTAATTTTATAAAATTTCTGCCAAATTTTTCTCAGAATTGACTACTTTATCATATTCAGTCTATGAGAAGCACTCCTGCTTAATTCTGGCCATTTTTGTAGTCCCTAGACATGTATCTATCACTGTTATAGTCATCATTGTTTTCTAGTAATGCATACATGATCTCATGTCATAGAGATGTAGTTCTATATGTGCTCATGTTCTCCCCTATTTTATATATTTTGTCCATCTTCTTTGTTAGATCATAACTCTCTTGTGATGAAAATCATGTCTACAGCTGCATCTTTTGAAACTTTCCACAGATCCTGGCAAAGCCCTCTGCCCATTGTAGCTACTTCATAAACATTGGCTCATTGCCTAAAGAAAGCAATTGACAACTCAGTCATAAAGAATTCACAATGGCACATAAATTTATCAGTTTAATTTTTTATATTCCTGTGGAGGTGATGTACAAAACTATTTTCTAATCTTAGGTGAGATCAACTCTTACAATCAGTCTAATAAGTATAAGAAAAAAACTAAATAACATTTACATTTGTGGTTGCCTAATTTTGTAATAGTAGGCTTTTCAGTATGTAAAAGTTAAGCTTGCATGAACAAAATTGGAAAGGAATGTATTCTGTTTATCTGAATTTCCTTAATTTGCTTCTTTCCTTAATGTACAAATTTGAGATGTGTGATATCAACTTGGGAGACATATATCAACGATAATATTTTATAAGAGCATTTTCTAAAATAATACAAAAATGCAGAATAATAGGATGGATTTGTTGGAGAAATAATGGGCTTTGAATCTGGATATTTCTGGGTTCAGATCTCAGCCCTGCCACTTACTCATTACATGACCTTGCATGTGTCACTTCCCCTCTCAAAGTCCTGGTTATTTCAACTGTAAAATGGAATAAATAATCTACCACACAGTGTTGTTATGGGGATTGAATGAGTCAGGATCCATAAAATGTTGACTACAGATAGTGCAAACAAATGCCTAGAGAATATTTTTATTAAATTTTCTTCCATAATAGCTTCCCTTTTGTTAAGATATTGGCTGCTGGAATGGGATATAGTGGGAGGAAGAAATTATGCAAATCTCTTGGGTGATCAGGTAGCTGCTGCAACAGGTAGCAACGTTTCTCACCCCAGTTTCTCCCCTCCTCCTCACAATAAACAAGGCTTTTCAGCAACAGTGGTCTCCTGGAAAAATCAAACAGTACAGTGCCCAGTACAACGTTTATTTGTGTAGTTTTCCTCTCTTTTTACATAATATTTTTATTCTCCTCTCTGTTTACATAATACTTTCATTTTAAAACAAAAGATAAGGTTATGGCAACATCTGGGCATTGCCCCCCCAAAATCTTCAATAATCCTTAAGAGACTCAGCAGTCTCGAGTCCAGTTAATCTCACCTCCCCTTCCCACACACACACCAGTCTCTCCTCACTATGATCCACCCGCACCCACATTTGTCACCAGAATTCTCCTCTTACAGTTTAGCCTTGGGCCTGTCTTTCCACATTCAAGAACATTCTGGCACGCCCCATTTCCTAAAGTTAAACTTTTTGCTTTGGCTCCCACGGCCTTCCATAATCTAAAACCCACCTTTCTTTCTACTCTAAACTCTCACTACACTCTGATGGGGTCAAAGAGAGTTATTGATCAATCTTGAATATGCCCTAAACCACATGCCTTAATTATGGCTCTTCTCTCTACCTAATACACCAAATTTCCATGTATAACTATTAAAACCCTATCTTTTCTTTAAAATTCAATTAACATATCTTACTTTCTTTGGCTTAATCTACCTAAAACTCACTCTTATCTCCTCTTCATTACCTGAGCGCTTGCTCACCATTTAAATTCCAAATGTGAGAGTTATATCCTCTTTGGAGTCCCCCAAGATAAATTTCCCCATGTCTCTAACTTCAGGTAGAATCAATCACTGCACTAAACTATTTGTTATCCATTTCCGTTGTAGTCTTTCCCTATAATACTTTGCTGGTCTCACTTGCTCATCTCTCCCCAATTAGACTCCCTGTCCTTTAAGAGCATGTTCTGTATGCCCAATACACACCACTTATTCCTCTGTGTAATGTCGCTAAATGCATTTGCTGAATAAATGAAACTCTTCATGAAGACTGCACTGTTCTTTCCCAGATTTCATCCAAATACACTTTTTCTCTCTGTGGCACAACAGCTCTCTGTATTTCTATTATTGGACATAACCACATTATTCCCTGATGTATGATTACACGTGTCCTTGTATTTTCCTTCTTACTAGATAACAAAATCCCTGAGAGAAACAACAGGGTGTTTCTCAAGGAGACACTCATGCCTACCACAGTTTTTCAAATGGGAGGTGTTTACCGAATATGAACAGCTTTGTAACTCTTTAAACTACATCAGAAAGGCCATCAGAAGAGCATGACTCATGCTTGCTCTTTGAAGAGAGAGTACTATCATTTGCAAAAGTTGATGTAATTTAAATCAAATGTATTAATCCCTAAAGTAACAGGACAGATCCACCAAAATTATTCAGACCAGGAGGTGGAAACAGACTGGTAGTGAAAGAATAACGCACCTTTGGTATAAAGTAATAGATAGAGCAGTGACTAGGATTAACTTTATAGAGTTCTTGACCACTATCAGTTAGTATTACCACATCTTCAAGTGTTTCAAAAGAAAACTAAAATATGTATTTTATATAATATCCCCCCAGTTTGTTAATGTTGGTAACCAATTCACCTTAAAAGAATAAAAAACACAGTACAATCAAAACTTAGTACATCTCTGGGTCAGGTAAGACCTATAAGCTGTAAAATTTCCTGACGTCTCTCCTCTGAATTGATTGTAATGCCTCCTAGTCATTGAAAGTTCATTTTGAGTAACACCCTGTGCTAGGAATTCTGCATTAATCATACAATTAACTTTGCCTTCCTATAATCTGGGTATCATTGATCTGGATTACATTAAGATATCCACTTTACAAATGAGGAAACTGAGACACTGGGAGATTTAAGTTACACACATCAGATGATGTTATCAAACATGTCACCCTCCCTTGAGAAAACTCAGATTTTTGACCAACTGCAATGTAAAAATGACTTTGAGTCATGCACGCTTCCAAGCATGCTATTATTTTACTTCTCCCTGGTATTTTGATCTCCAAAATACCTGATCAAAATAAAACCAAGGTTGAGAACTTCTTCTCTAGAAAATAAAAGTAAGTGGAGATATACCTAATGTAAATGACGAGTTAATGGATACAGCACACCAACATGGCACATGTATACATATGTAACAAACCTGCACATTGTGCACATGTACCCTAGAACTTAAAGTATAATAAAAATATATATAATAAAAAAGAAAATAAAAGTAAGTAAAATTGCTAAAATGTATTATATACATACATATATATATATATATATATATATAAATCTTACCTTAAGGCTATGACTATTGGTCTTTCAAAAGACAGCCCACTATAAACATTGCATAGAAAAACATCTTAAATATCTTTATCCAAATATGAGATTAAAACCAGGAAGAATATAAACAAGCAGGGGTGAAGCCAAGAATGATGGCACAGACATTTGGGAAAGATTAAAACTAATAAGCACTGCATTCAGAAAACTTTTTAAAGTACAGACTATATTCAAAGGTGTGTGTTCAAGGAGTTATTTTAACAGCTTAGAGGACCGATGATGGTGTCAGATTTGTGAGACACTTCAGAACTAGAATTCATAGGAATTGGTGACTAATTTGAAGTGGAGGGTACTTGAGAGGGAGTAATCAGGGATGATGACTTAGAGAGCAGGGGGAAGATGGTGTTGTCATTAACTAAGATAAGGAAACATACAGAAAAGAGCAAAACTTGGTGTGGAGTAGATAATGGAGTATATTGACAATGAAAGAGGGTTCCAGAGGGCACGGCAAAGTGGACAGATGGCACTCAATAAAACAAGAGCCAGGCGAAGAGGGTGAGTTGGATGAAGATGAGATGGCATTGAGAGCCTAGGAGAGGGCAGGAGTCCAGGCATCCTTGTCTCCTAGGTCATTTTCATGAGTCACAAGAAGAGTCTGAAAATTACCAAATGGCCAGGAGAAACATGGTAATGATGGAATAGGGCAGTGCACTAAAGTTCAGTTCCAATATTCCAAATGGTACTATGCTGTCACAGTTCAGTGGTTCCAACTCCACGGAATCATTGCTTGCTATTTACAATGTAAGCAAGCCCACTGAGTTTTCAAATTGTGCAGTGCAAAGCCCAAAGGATTTTACTGAGGGGCTTTAGGGTTCACAGAACACTGAAGGAATCAAGTTCTGGACCCCATCCTAATCCAATCAGTGAAATTTTCTCAATTTTTTTTATATGTTGGGCTTCTTAGTTAAAGGCCCCTGATAAAAAAGAATTCCACTGCTTTAAAAATAAAAAGCTTAAAAATAACTGAAGTGTCTTATTATCCAATTTTGAAGTACATCTGAAGTATTATTTTGTATTATAAAGTAATGATGTTTATAAATCACAGTCAACTTAAAGATATCCTACTAATAATGCCATTCTTGCTAACACTTCTAGTTGCATTCTTGGGTTGGAGAAAAAGACTAAAGATATTTCTAGTGTGGTAGGAGTTTTAGTAAACCCAGCTACACCAGTGGGAATGTGTTGTTTATGTGAAAGTCATCCTTCCTGTGTGTTAATAGAAATAAATGTTGAGAGCTGGCCATCCTGATGATAGCCAAAGTCCTTAAAAGCTGGAGAATATCCAACTCCCCAACTTCCAACCCATGACCAAGGAAGGATGGATGAATCACTGAAGGGTCAAAGGGAGAGGTCCCTCCTAAAGACCACAAGTCAAAGCTGTGGACAACGGAGTTGCACTTAAGGGCCGCATGGAGATAAAGGGACAAATCAAGCTGAAACCTGTTCAGAAAAGCCAAACCAAAGCAACACCAAATCTAGCATGAAAAAGCAGTAAGTAATGTAAGTAGAAGCAAGCATGACAGTGATGAAAAAGGAGATATCATCAAAGCAAATTTAGTTCTATATGTGTGTGCATGGGAATGCTGAGTTATCTTAAACAGTTGGAGCAGGCAAATAGATGCCCCCATTCTGCCTCAAAGAGCATTAATTCTTCAAGCCTCAGCAACAATGGCTTCCTAAAACTATGTCTCAACTTAGATGATAATTCATGGGAGGTTCTGAAAGAGCAAAAATAAGAGAAATACATTTTATAAGATTTGATTAACAGTATAATTTTACTATACCTTTTGTATCTACATTGGGGGTTGTTTCCGTGTGCCTTGTCTCAGCCCTATCCTATAGGTATATGAGATTTGCAAAGTAAATAAAGACTTGATGCAGGAAACAATCCAGGAAAAACAATAGGGTGCCTGGCCATCAGGAGCTGAAACTGAATTGACTGTCAGGACAAAAATATAAAAATCAGAAGCAGCATCTTTGGGGAGCAAATCATTGTACACACTATAAAGACAGTCCCCTAGAAATGCAGTTGTAAGAGGGCATGACACAGTAATAGAGCAAAGATCCAGTGAGCAGATAGTTTCAACACAGGCAGTGACCACAGAGGAGGAGTTCTCTGGAGAGTTAAAGAGATACGATTTAGTACAGCAAACAAACTAATACTCATTCAATTCTAGATTTGTACTAGATGTTTATTAAGCCTGTTGGTAAGAACCAATGTAGAAACACCAGAACATGCTTCTACCTCTTACTTCAAGACATTCTTGCTCTTCCTAGTCATAACTCATTCATTCATTTGCTTGATAATAAAACTATTATAACAATTTAATACTATCATTAATAATGTATAGGATACTTTATTGCTCGTCATTATATTAAACTTTTTAAATATATGATTTAATTTAGCCTTCATAAGAAACCAGTGTTGTTATTATGAATGATGGTACAACCAGGTGTCTTTAACATACGCATAACACACACCAACAATCACCATTACCCATTCCTGACTCTTTGATGTGGACAATTGACATTTTTGAAAAGTGCTATGCAAGCTCAGTGTAAAGCTCCCCTTTCAGCCAGATTGCCAGCACAAGCCTCTTCTAAAAAGAAATTCTGGAACTATCTTTGATTATTATCCCTGCAGATGAGGAAATATAGCTCAGAGAAGCTCAGGTCACACAACCAGGATTCAAATCCACATAGCATTCCTCACAGAGTACACACTCTTAGTGTCTATATGCCTTACAGGCACCCAGAGAAAATGGGAATTTTGTGAAACTGTTAGCCAAAAATCTATAGCCTGCAGATTTTAACTTTATATTAATTATTTCTTCTAATTCAACTTTGTATTGTTTGTGTGTGCTAAGGCCTTTGTGATGGTTAATACTGAGGGTCAAATTGATTGGATTGAAGGATACAAAGTATTGATCCTGGGTGTGTCTGTGAGGGTGTTGCCAAAGGAGACTAACATTTGAGTCAGTGGGCTGGGAAAGGCAGACCCACTCTTAATCTGGGTGGGCACCATCTAATCAGCTGCCAGCACGGCTAGAATATAAAGCAGGCAGAAAAATGTGAAAAGACTAAACTGGCCCAGCCCCCCAGCCTACATCTTTCTCCCATACTGGATGTTTCCTGCCCTTGAACATCAGACTCCAAGTTCTTCAGTTTTGAGACTGGAACTGGCTCTCCTTGTTCGTCAGCTTGGAAATGGTCTATTGTGGGACCTTGTGATTATGTGAGTTAATACTTAATAAACTCCTCTTTATACATATATATCTATCCTACTAGTTCTGTCTCTCTAGAGAACCCTAAAGGGGTTCCTTCAGGATACATACAGTCCTAATACAATCCTTTAGGTTACAAGACACAAGTATTATCAGTTTAACCGTGTAGTAGGAATTGGTTGCAAGGATGTACAAGGAAATGGACAACCCAGAAACTTATTTCAGTAGTCGCTCAGTTCGCCTTCATGGACCTGGTAAGTAATTTATCCCCATTCAGAAAACGACAGACATCCACAGTCCCAGAGACCCCATAGCATCTGTTTGTCATCCCCTGAAATGGTCATGAGCTGTTGACTCATTCTTGTGACTCAGCTTCCCTTTGTCCCAGCCTCTCTTCAATGTGGCTGTCCTACTGCTGCCTAATTGTTCTCCTGCTGTGTGCCTTACCTTATAAACTCCAAAAGAGAAAGGATTCAATTTGGTTGGTAGGTCAATATCTAAACTGGAATCCCTTATGGTATGCCATGAAACATTGAGGAAAGTCTCTTAGGAGACTAAGATTTAAAAATAGAACTATCATATGATTCAGCAATTCTACTCTTGGGTATATATCAAAAGGAAATGAAATCAGGATATTGAAGAGATATCTGTACTCCTGTGTTCATTGCAGTGTTATTCATGATACCCAAGATACAGAATCAAACTCAGTGTCTATCAATAGATAAATTAATAAAGAAAATATAATATATAATTGTCTCTCAAATACCTCAAGGATATCAAATCCTCAGATTATCAAGTTCCTTATATAAAATAGCATAGTATTTGCATATAACCTACACATAACCTTCCATATACTTTAAATCATCTCTAGTCCGGGCGCGGTGGCTCACGCCTGTAATCCCAGCACTTTGGGAGGCCGAGGTGGGCGGATCACGAGGTCAGGAAATCCAGACCATTCTGGCTAACACGGTGAAACCCCGTCTCTACTAAAAAATACAAAAAATTAGCCGGGCATGGCGGTGGGCGCCTGTACTCCCAGCTACTCTGGAGGCTGAGGCAGGAGAATGGCGTGAACCCGGGAGGCGGAGCTTGCAGTGAGCGGAGATCGCGCCACTGCACTCCAGCCCGGGCGACAGAGCGAGACTCCGTTTCAAAACAAACAAACAAACAAAAAAAAAACTCTCTAGATTACCTGTAATACCTAATACAATGTAAATGCTATGTAAATAGCTGTTATATAGTATCGTTTTTTGTTTCTGTTTTCTACTGCTGTCATTTTTAAAAATCTTTTTATTCCAAAGTTGGTTGAATTTGCAGATGCAGAACTTGTGGATATAGATAATCGGCTGTACATACACACTGGAATACTATTCAGCCTTAAAAATAGAAAATCTTCTTATTTGTAACAACATTAATGAACCTGGAGGACATTATGTTCAGTTAAATAAGCCAAGCACAGAAAGACAAATACTGCATTATCTTACTTATATATGAAATCTATAAAAGTCAAACTCATGGAAGAGGTAGGAAGTAACAAGAGGGGAAATGAGGATATGTAAGTTAAAGGATATAAAATTTCAGTTAGAGAGGAGGAATAAGTTCAAGAGATCTATTGTACGATGGTAACTATAGTTAATAATAATGTATACTTGAAAATTGCTTAAAAAGTAGATTTTAAATATTCTTGCCACAAATAGCTGATACTTTTGTGAGGTAATGCATATATTGATTAGCTTGATTTAGCCATTCCACAATGTACACATATTTCAAAACATCATGTTGTATACCAGGAATGTTTACAAAAATTTGTTAAGGAAGACAAATAGACAGAGGCAAGAAACTTGGAAAGACTGTGCAATGGAAAGAAAACCTCAAAAATGTATTAATATTTTTTATAGAAAAATGTACCTATGAGACAAAAATAGGATGGCGTAAAAACGAATACTCAGAAATCAAAAAGAATCTCTTGAAAGAAATTAAAAGATGGTAATAGAATTATAGTGAATAAACCAAGAGTAAAAACAAAATTGAACAGTAAAAAAAAATTCAATTAATCCAAAAGAAGGTAGAAAAATAGGAAAAATGAACAATTATTAGATGGACAAATAGAAAACCAATGGCATAATGGATGGTCTATTTAAATCCAACCAGATAAATAATTACATTAAATGAAATGATCTAAACATGCCAATTAAAAGGCAGAGGTTGTCAGTCTGCATAAAGAATAAAAACACAACTATATGCTATGTACAAGGAGCCACTTTAAATATAAAAATAGATAGGTTTAAAGTAAACAGATAAAAAAGATGTACAATAAAACCCTGCAAAGGAACATGAGGAAACATTCTGGTGTAATTGAAATGTCCATGTATTGATTGAGTATACATGGTCAAACCTTATTAAGCTGTACCCTTAAATAAGTGTGTTTTGTTTGTATAAATTATACCTCTATAAAATTGATGTTTAAAAATTTAAAAGATGATTGTAGAAATTTAAAATAGCAGAAAGACTAAAAGAAATAATTGCCAGGCACAGTAGCTCAAGCTTGTAATCCCAACAGTTTGGGAGGCCCAGGCAGGAGGATTGCTTGAGCCTAGAAGTTTGAGGCCAGCCTGAGCAATATGTCAAGACCCTCTCTCTACAAAATAAAAAATAAAAAATTAGCCAGGCACGGCGGTGCACTACTGTGGTCCCAGCTACTCAGGAAGCTAAGGCAGGAGGATCACTTGAGTCCAGGAAGTCAAGGCTGTAGTAAGCCAGGTTGGCACCACTGCACTCCAGCCTGGGTGACAGAGCAAGATGCTGTCTCAAAACACACACACACACACACACACACACAGAAGAAATAATAAGGAAGCCCCTCAGAAAGTAGGAAAAGGACAGAAGTAGTAAGTAGTAGAACAAAAATAAGAAAATCAGATGATTAACTTAGGAAATCCAATTGCGGTGTAATAGACATGTTTCAAAAGATCATGTTGAGGGATAAAATTAAAACCAAGTTTGAAAAATGTGAACATAACTGAAGACAGGTTTCCAGAGTGAATGCTGAGCACAATGGATGAAAACAGCCCCACATTACTGCACATTATTGTAACACTTCAGGACATAAGAAAGAAGAGCAGACACACACAAAAAAAAAATTCCAGAAAGAATAGGTTTTACGCACAATCCAAAATAATGATGGCATTTTGGTTTCTTATCAACAACAGTTGAAGCTATAAAATAACAACAGAGCAATGACTTTAAACTTGTGAGGGAAAATGATTTGCCACCTAGAATTTCATATCCAGCAAAACTATCAATTAAATGTGAAGATGGGATAAATACACTTAAAGGTATACAAGTATCAAAAAATTTACCTCCCATCTTTCATTCTCCAGAGGCTCCTGAAGAATGTGGTCCACTAAAATGGGGAAGTAAATGAAGAGAAAGACTCAGAACTGAAGAAACAAAGATTCTAACACAAGAAAGAAAGAGAAGAAACTTCCAGGATGAGAACCTAGGGGATAGCTCTGCAACAGGTCTTGAAAGTTGCCATGTAAATTGAGTGAATTAGAAGTTTTCAGGAAAGTCATCTCCAAAAGATGAAACTGATAGAATATTTCTTGTGTTAATAAAAGGTTTAGACAATGGGGGTGGGGGGATGGTTGGGGTTGAATTTGTGGTAAATACATAAAAATAATTATCATCAAGAAAGATCACTGTTAATCCCCCAAAACCAAAGTATTGCCAGGTGTCTTAGTCCATTTTCATACTGCTATGAAGAAATACCCTAGACGGGGTAACTTATAAAGAAAAAGATGTTTAATGGACTCACAGTTCCACATGGCTGAGGAGGCCTCACAATCATGGCAGAAGGTGAAGGAGGAGCAGAGGCACATCTTACATGGCAGCAGACAGAAAGTGTGTGCAGGGGAACTGCCCTTTATAAAACCATCAGATATCATGAGATTTATTCACTTTCATGAGAACAGCATGGGAAAACCCACCCCTATGATTCAATTACCTCCCACTGGGTCCCTCCCGTGACATGTGGGGATTATGGGAGCTACAATTCAAGATGAGATTTGGGTGGGGACACAGCCAAACCATATCACCAAGTAAGAAAAAAATAATCATAGAGTATAACACATTACTCAAGTATAACCAGCATTTGTATAGGGATACTTATTTAAATGCTAAATATAGATCCAAACAAATGTTTAAATATCATAAAACTATATTGAGCGGATGACAGAATGGATGGATGGGAAGTACATGCGTGCATTTGGGGTGGACAGGGAGGCAAGTGAAAGAGCTAAACTGTTACCTTTCATTGTAGGAAAGCAGTAAATAAGGGCTAAAACTGAAAAAGCAAGAAATAGCAATACATTAAAGTTATTTAAAGATATCCAGATATCAAGCATCAATGAAAACATCTAAATATAGACAAAAGTGCTTATCTCTGGGTAATGAGCAATGTGGGAGGCATTAGTGGCTGGTGTTTATTTTAATGACCCTCATAGAACTGTTTGACTCTCTGAACAATGTGAATGTAGTACTTTTACATAAAGAAAATGTTAGGCCAGGTGCAGTGGCTCATGCCTGTAATCCCAACATTTTGGGAGGCCGAGTTGGGTGGATCACTTGAGGCCAGGAGTTCAAGACCAGCCTGGCCAACATGGTGAAACCCCATCTCTACTGAATATATAAAAAATTAGCCAGGCGTGGTGGCGCATGCCTGTAATCTCAGCTACTCAGGAGTCTGAGGTAGGAGAATCTCTTGAACCCAAGGTGTGGAGGTGGCACTAAGCCGAGATCGCACCACTGCTCTCCAGCCTGGGCAGCAGAGCACCACTCTGTCTCAAAAAGAAAAAGAAAAAAGAAAGAAAATTTTAATTTAACAAATACAAAGAAAGCCTAAAAGTTATTTTTTTAACAAAGCTAAAGCAAACTGACAGAGCAGTATTTGGACAGAGTTATAGAAGTGGATTCCACATTGCTTCTCTCTGAACCCCTCCCTCATTCCTTTCCTTGAGTAGAGGTAGCACATAAAAATATGACTAGCTGCAGTAACGCGGGTCCCCTCATAAGTAGCTACGGTACTTGTAAGATTGATATAGGACTTCCTCTGAAGAGCTCAGCTGCTGAACTGAGAACATTAAGCATGGAATATTTGATTGATACAGAACTTCCTCTGAAGAGCTCAGCTGCTGAACTGAGAACACTAAGCATGGAGTATTTTAACACTCTGAAATTAAAAAACAAGGCAAAGGTATGGAAAGAAAAATAAGAATGAGAGATTACAAAGAGCAAATTAAATCAAATCTTCATTAGAAGATAATTAAGACCAAGCCTTGAATAATTCTGTAGCTTCCCCAGGATGCTAATGACAGAAATTAGTAGTGTTATCAGTTTTTTCATGAACCATTTCCACCATATGTCAGTGTTTCTCACTTCTGCCATTTGTTTTGCTAAAAGCACCCAAATAAACTTTGACCATCTGAAGTGATCAAAAGCCAGCCTATATCACTTCATTCTACTAAGATTATTCAAGTTTAGTTAGGGAAATATGTCATCAGGACCACCTGTGGCTTGATCTCTTTTACTTGTGGTTTGCCCTGCCCCTTGGAAGGTCAAATATTAACTTAAAATAATCTGGTTTAGTCCTGGATTCCTGGAACTTTTCTTTCTAATTCAGTCTCTACTGGACATTCAGATACGGACTTATGGAAAACTGAGATCTTGTTTATAATATTACCTCTTTGGGCTAGAAATCTGGATATTATTTAATAGAAGTGGCTTAAATATATTAGCCAGAGGAAAGAACTCTGTCAGCTCATTTTCATTATGAGCTGCTCTTATGATCTGCTTCAGAACTCCCTTTTCTACAGATTTTTTTTAAAGCAGGGTGTGGAAAAGGAAAAGTGATGATTAATTTTATTCTGACTTTAAGATATGAGCATAGAAAAGAGTTTAGTCAGAAAGTATATGACATTAATTCCCTTTCATTGGGTACTTTCTCTGTGTTGGCCACTGTGTTAGACCCTTTATATAATATGATCTCTAATTCTCAAAATAACTCCTCAAGATAGCTATTATATCTGCAATTTACAGATGAGTACACCAAGGCTCTAAGTAATGCAGTCTTCCCTAGATCTCCAAAGGCACCACAGAAGCAGTGTGGCCTGCTCAACCCCCATCTTCCCTGAGTTGATATGTAAGATTTTCCACTGCCTTGGAAGGAGACATGTCCTGGTAATGGTGAATTATACCTACCTTATGGAGTTGTTTCAAGGATTAAATAAATAAAAGAAAATAATAAACTAAAGCACTGAGACCAGTGCCTCAACATATGAGTGTTCAGTACATGTTAGCTCTTGATGTGATTGTTAGTGTCAGTAGATATTCAATAAGCTAGAAACATCGACTTCCTTTTATTTTCTCTTCTCCCATGGTGGAAAGGAAGAGAGAGATCAATATGCCTTTAAGTGGAAAGAAATAGTTTCATGATTCAAGAGATTTCAGCAAAAGCTTTTGCTCCAAGAGATCTTCCCTGCTAAACAGCGTACAGTTCCCCTAAGACAGAGCTTGTTGTGTAAGTCACAGCCTGAGTATGTAACAGGAGTTAATACCTCATATGAAATCTATTTTCCTGACTAGCTCAGTCCTTTGGTAAGATGCAGTACTGAAGGGTGTGCACTGCTACCTCTGAGTTGCCAGGACCAGCATCATAAATAAAGTGATGTTTATTGAAACAATTTACTCTAGCTCATTCCCTCCTCTCACATGGGAACTGAGAAAGAGGGCTCCCCCTCAATGCAGTTTGCATACATTTCTGACACCCTTCTATTAGCCTACTCATGGCACTGTTCTACTTGGTTGTAAACACAACAGCGACCCTACTTCTAGCAGATGATGGGTTGTAGCTATCAAGTGCCTTAACACAATTACTCCCTTCAAGAGCCTCTCATAATGCTGCTTTATACCCTCCACCAATTACCGTTTCACATACTGTACTTACCTTGCCATTTTCCCTACAGCTTCCTTCACATATTCTCACACAATATTCCTAAGATTCATATAAATTCCTTCCCTTCCTCCTCTCCCAACAAATGCCACCCCATCAGAGGTGAATTTATCTCCACCTGAGCGTCTCCACACCTGGGTCTTTAGTTAAATCTTGACTGCTTTTCTGATTCTATTCCTATATCCCACCGCCAGGGCTGTTGGCTGCCACACAGCCACTGTAAGGCTGCTCACTCAACTCCTTCTCCTTCCCCTTCTTTATAGGCCTCTCTTGAAGTTTTTGTTTTTGTTTTTGTTTTGTTTTTTTGAATGTCACATTTTATTTTATTTTTAATTCACAAAATTATATATACTTATGGTGTACAACATTGAGTTTTGAAATATGTATACACTAGAATAGTGGACTCAAGCTAACATATGTATTACCTCAAATACTTATTTTTTTGTTGTGAGAACAATTAAAATCTCTCCTTGCAATTTTCAAGTATAAAATACATTGTTATTAACTGTAGTCATTATATTGTACAATGGATTTCTTGAACCTACTGTTCCATCTAACTGAAATTTTGTACCCTTTGGTCAAACATCTCTCTAATCCCACCCCACTACCCCACCTCAGCTCCTGGTAACCACCGTTCTACTCTCTCCTTCTATGAGTTTGTTGTTTTTTAGATTTCATACATAAGCGAGGTCATGCAGTATTTGTCTTCCTGAGCCTGGCTTATTTTACTTAACATAATATCCTCAAGATTCATCCATGTTGTTACAAATTAGGAGATTTTTATCTTTTTAAAGGCTCAATAATATTGGTTGTGTACATATACCATATTTTCTTTTTCCATTTCCATTTATGTGTCAATGAACACTTAGGTTGATTCTGTATGTTTAGCCAAGGTGAATACTGCTGCAGTGAATGTTGGAGTGCAGATATCTCTTTGTCATTCTGAATTCTTTTCCTTTGGATATATACCCTATAGTGGGATCACTGGATCATATAGGTAATTCTATTTTAATTTTTTGAGGAACTTCCATACTATTTTTCATAATGGCTAGATGATATATCCCCAACAGCAGTATACCAGGGTTCCCTTTTCTCTACATCCTTGCTAATACTTATCTTTTATCTTTATGATAATAACTAATCTACGATAATAGCTAATCTATAGCTAGGTATAAGGTGATATTTCGTTGTGGTTTTAATTTGCATTTCCCTAATAATTAGTGATGTTGAACATTTTTTAATGTACTTGTTAGCCAGCTGTATCTCTTCCCATAGGAAATATCTATTTAGGTCCTTTGCTTATTTTTTAATTGGGTTATTTGTTTACTTGCTATGAAGTTGTTTGAGTTCTTTATATATTTTAGATATTAACCCCTTATCATAGAATGACACATTTTAAGAAAAGGAATGAATCTTCTTGTGGAAGCTTAATTCCCTGTCCCAACATGGCACATGTATACCTATGTAACAAACCTGCACGTTGTGCACATGTACCCTAGAACTTAAAGTATAATAAAAAAATATATATATTTTTATACATATATAAATATATATTAAAAAACAGTAGAAGTATAGAGTTTGTAAATGAGTGTGTCTAGTGCAAGGAGATGTAAGGGCTGAGGAATTAGGACAGGTAATTAAGCTTCCACAAGAAGATGTTTTTGTTTTTTGAGACAGGATCTCAGTCTGTCACCCAGGCTGGAGTGCAGTGGCACAATCTTAGCTCACTGCAACCTCTACCTTTCAGGCTCAAGCAATTCTCATGCCTCAGCCTCCTGAGTAGCTGGGACTACAGGTGCCCACCGCCATGCATGGCCAATTTTTGTATTTTTAGTAGAGACAGAGTTTCTGTATGTTGGCCAGGCTGGTCTTGAACTCCCAGCCTCAGGTGATCCTCCCACCTTGGCCTTCCGGGAAGTGCTGGGATTACTGGCATGAGCCACCATGCCCAGCCTCTTGAAGTCTCTTCTAACAACAGTGTCAGAGGAGAGTTTTCTGTTCTTCTCCTCAGTTGTTTGACCACATGAAAAATAAAAAGAAGGCTCTAAATCTGGGAAACAACACTTGTTACATACCACTATGCACAACTATTTGCCATAATCCTGACAACATAGGAATGCACATAGGAACAATTCTAGTATTACAAAGCAGCATTATATTAGTGCCCCTCATAAGACCCACATGTGTGTACAGTCGTTCATTCATCCATGAATCCATCTGATAAAAATACTTTTCTTGCCTAAGTGCTGGCCACTGTGATAAACACGAGATACAAAGGTGAACCACATAGTAACTGGATCAGAGGAGGAAGGGACAGGCTTTGACCAAAGAAGCCGGTTAAGACAATGAAACAGTAGATTCAGGCAAGAAAGGATAAGGTCCGGAATGAACTAAAACAGGCACAGTGGAGCTAGAAAGCAGGGACAGACTCAAGATATAAGGAGGCCATATCAGAAGGACTTGGGTATTGATTAGCTGTGAGGAATGAGGAAACAAATGACTAAAGCAAAAGATTTCTCAGTAACACTGAGTGCATGATGATGTCATTTCCTGTCAGAGGACTAGGAGAAATCGGTTTGGAGAGAAAGAATGAATCCAGTTTTGGAAAGTGAAATATCTGTGGGATATCAAGGTACAGATAACTACTAAATATTTAGAATAAAGCTAGAAATATAAGTATATGAGATTAAATACTTGTCACAGAGTAGAATCTCATGCTCAATGTCCTCAAGAAGTATCAAAAGCTGTTTTAAAGAATATTTAGGGAGAATTGCTTGCAAGACAATAAAACTGTCATCACTTCAAGACATCCTAAGTTAAGTAAAATAAAAAACATATTCTACAACATTCCCGTAGGAACAGAGACCATGTTATATTGGCCTATAACTGAATTGCTTTAACTAAATTTAATCTTATTCATATCTATATCCTAAATGGAAGATGTTTATAAGATACAGACCCTGAGAACTCATGAGTGCATCTTCTGGAAGGATGGCATGGAGGATGTGATTCATATCATGTGGAGGTCTCCTCACCCCACCCTGAGAGAAACCTTTGTTCATCTCAGTAGCAAGAATGGTTATATTTCTAGACAATTGGATGTGTAACCATGATGAGATGTCACCCTCTTCTCATTGGCTTCTCAAAAGCTTAGAATTTTCAAATTTAGTACTCACATTTAGCTGCACTCTACTTGGGTTATATTTTGTCTTCACCCTTATTTTTTTTTCTTTTACCTCATACTAATTTTGTACTACTCAGTAGATGTTTGTACCCTTCTTAACCATTTTAAATCTTCTTAAGACAAGATGTATTATTTTAAAAGTAATTATTCATTTATTCACCTCTTTTGAGTTCATGGATTTTCAGCCTATAGATAGAAGTCATAGGAGAAGATGAGATGTCCAGGCTGAGCACTTACAAAAAGAAGAGAAGAATAGATTATTTACATCTTAGGGTGGGAACAAGAAGAGGAACTGGCAATGGAGACTGAAAAGAAATCATGAGAGGATTCTGACAGAATTGTGCCACAGAAACCAGGGAAGAAAAGTTGATTGTAGGCCAAATGCTGCAGAGAGATGAACTATAATGAAGTCTGAAAACAGTCCCTTGGAGAATGGTTAGGAGATGATGGCCAGGGCAATCTCATTGACATGATGGAATCAGTTGCCTGACTCCCACAGAATGAGTCAAGGCAGAAAATAAAGATAATTCTTGTGAGGCATTTGATGCAGAAGTGAATGGAAGACACAAGGAGACAGCTAGAGGCTCACTTGTGATCAGGGAAGAAGTTATTTTTACATAAAAGAGACTAGAATTGTTAAGACCACAGGGAAGAACTGAATTAAGAGGATAGAATAAAAGAACGGAAAAGGCAGATAAAGCAATGCAGTGGGTTTAGGGTGACTGAATTAGGGACAAAGACTGAGTTAAAGATTTCAGAGGTGGTATTGATTGGACCCAGCAGGTAGCCACATAGGTAGCTGAAATATAGGAAATTCAAGATCCTCTGAGAGTAAAGTGTTCAATTTATCATCCATGGTGATAGTAAAGTCAATTAGGATAATGGCGTGACTTGGAAGATGGTGATCCATATGCCAACACCCTCAACAAATGAGAAGGAGTGACCTAGATTGAATGACAGTCAGAAAGTGTTTAGATGGTAGTATGGACAGGAGGCAGAGTCCAAAAGGGAAAGGGACATTGCTTGAAAGTGAAAGAGACACGATTGGCCACAGTTAATGGCAATATTGAAAAGTCTCATGCTGCCTCATAGTGCACCCACACTGAAGAAAGCTGAAATTCATTAGGGCAAAAAGATGGGAGGTTAATTGCCCATTCTGATGGTTATTGTTTGGAGAAAGCTTAGAGATGTGACTTACAAGAGAAGAGTTCATGCTCATTTATTGCCCCGCCCCCACTTTTTTTTTTTTTTTTTTTTTTTTGAGAAGTGGAGATTACCGCAATGCACACAGCCTTTGAATAAATACCTGGATGCCACTTCAAGGGTGTTGAGCCTGAGAAGCAGATTTGATATGCTGAAGAAATGGAAGCTTCTCCCAATACAAAAACAGTAACAACTGCCACAATGCTTATCATGATGTGACTCACTCTGCAAAACTTCATATTTATTTGGAAGAGGAAGAAGGCAAGAGAGGGATGAATAAGATGATCACATCACTAGTAAGTGTCTAATTTGTCTGGGTGAGAGTTTAGGAAAGCAATGCTCTCAGAAGTGCATTAATACATTAGCAGCTCTAATTAGCAACACAGGACACCTAATTCTTTCCCTTTGGAACTCACAGGGAATGAATTATATGAAGAACTCATCTGATGGGGCGGGGAGACTGAACTTGTTTGGATCCTTTCATAAACCAGAGGATATCAAATATACAAAATGGTCTTGCTTACAACTTTTATTTCAAAAAAAGAAATCAGCTTTTTTTCACATTCCACAGCTAAAGAAAATACCTATTAGTAGCTACAGTCACTTTGATGTTCTGATAATCCTCAGAGAGCATTTTTAAGTGAAAATAGAAGTCCATTAATGTTTCACATAGGATTTAAACTCTTGGGCATTTGAGAGGAAAAAAAACCCAAGTGGTCTGATTTTTCTATAATGACGATTTTATGTTGTATATCATCACTTGCTCATCTTACAGAGTTTTAATTCAGAGCTTTAAATATTGCACAATATGGGTGGCAGCCAGATTGACACAATAAATCTTAATGTTTCTAAATTTAAAAGTCAGTAGCTATTTGCCAAATACATCTTCAACCTGCTATATCAATTTTTGCATAAAAACTATACCTTGTAGAGTCTACATTTTTATAGCTCTCATCATAATGAATGGCGTGTAGTCAATGCAATATCAAGCTGTGTCCTTTTTACTATAATTTTTTATATTTAGGTAATTTTCTAAGTATAACATTTACTATAAAGCTAAAAAAGGAGAGTTGCAATGGTTATTTCCAACACAAACGTGCGTTATAAAAACAATTATGATGTAAAAAACGATATTGTCCTCTTTCTTTCATGAAACAACCCACTTCCAGTTTAGAATCTGGAACAGCCAAGGTGCTCTAATATTGCTATCTTACACATTTGATTTATAATGGCTATGTTTTCCCCATCATTATCATCTAATTTTTAAAGCTGTAAGCATCTCCTGAATACACAGTTCAAAGAAGAAGCAATCATTTAACACTTACTTGCATAAGTAAATATTCCTGAAAATTAAAAAGTAAAAGCTATTATGTTCATTGGCATTTTCTGCTACCAAAGGGCCACATTTCAAAATGAAAATCTAAACCATATATGCGGCACAGTGTATAAAAAAAATTAAGACATAAAAGATATTTATTGCTTTTAAACAAACTTGTTCTGATGCACCGTCTCTCATCTGCCTAACTACTGCCTCATACCCCCACCACCCTACCCTTCATCCTATCTCAATGTCCTTTTTGATTGAAAGTAACAACTGCCAATGTTTTCTTTCCTGGCTTGTTGCATTGGTATCACGCTAAAAATTGGAATAATATATGAAAAGACTTTACACGCACAGAGAATACTTTTTATATTCTTCTTCACCTTCCCAGTACTTTTATAATAATTTTTATAATTAAGTATTTAATCTATACTGTTTAATTTATAATGAATGTGAGTCAGAGTTCTAATTTCTTCCTTTCTTTTTTCTTCCTTTTTTTCTTTCCTTTCTTCTTTCTTCCTTTCTTCTCTTCTTTTCTTTCTTTCTCTCCAAATGGCAAGCCAATTGCCCCAACACTATGCATTATATAGTACCTTCATGCTGCACTGATTTTAGTGTCATGTTTATTATATATTAAATTCTAGCATTAACATTAGCTAACACTTTTTCGGTGTTTACAACAGGCCAGGCAATGTTCTAAATGCTTTACATTTATTGTCCCTACAGCAACTGTAAATGGTTTGGACCACTTTATCCCTAATTTTTAGATGAGAAATTTGAAATACGGAGGGCTTAATAATTTGTCCAGGGTCACAAACCGTTAAGTGGCAAAGCTGTGCTTTGTACCTTGACAGTGTGGTTCCAGAATCTGTGCACTCCACCACACACTACCTTGCTCTCATCTGCCACATATACCTTGTCCTGGACTCTAGTTTGTCCCCTTAACAATCTCTCAGCTGCTATCACACTTTTTTTAATAAAAAATTGAGACAAGGTCTCAATATGTTGCCTAGGCTAGTCTTGAACTCCTGGGCTCAAGTGATCCTCCCACCTTGGTGTTACACTTTTAATTACCATAGTTTTATAGTACGTTTTGACATCTACCAGGGCACATACCCTTCATTGTTCATTTTCAGTTTTCTTGCTGTTCTAACACAGTCAATCATTAACATAAATTTCACCATTAACTTATCAACTTAAAAAATACATTTTGAGTGGAATTATATGAAATTTACAGATTTGGGGAGAACTAATGTCTTTACAACACTAAATCATCCCATCCAGGAACTTGCCATGATTCTTCATTTACCTCAGTTTTCTTTTTATGCCTTTCAATAAAATGTTATAGTTTTCATCACATGAGTTACAGTCATTTCTTATTTATCTATAGGAATTACATTTTTATTTCCATATGTTTTCATTCTATTTCTAGTCTCTCATGGGTTAAAACATCATTGAAAACCTCTTGATTTTTGTATCTTATTTCCCACATCTTACTGAGTTATCTTATTTGTTTCTAATAGATTTTCAGTTAACTCAATTGGATTTTGGAACATTTAATTATATCTTCTGAAAAGAAACATAATTGCATCTGTTTCTTTCCAATATTTGTACTTCTTTGTTTTTCTATTTTATTGTTTGGATTAAGACTTCCAGAACAATATTAAATAAGGTAGTAAGGCAGAAAGTATTAGCTGTTCCCTAGTATCCATTCTTTACTCATAGAAAACCCTAGTTTTTAGATAAGCACATGGCTAATCAGATTAAAGCTACACTTTTCAACATTCCTTGCAACAAAGTGTGGCCATGTGACCAATTACTGGCTAATGCCAGCAAAACTATCATGCCGTAACTTCCACAAGCATTATATACAAAACAGCAGATATGACTTAGGCCTCCTTTGTTCTTTGTCCTCATATTTTTCCCCGCCCTTCTGAATTAAATAAGGATATGCTGAACTTGAATTATTCCTTGAAATATGAGAATGAAGACCACACCCTAGCAGTGATAGAATGAATCTGGGTCCCCGGATAGGCAATGGATTAGACCCACTTTGCCACCCTTTACTGCCTTTCTTCAGTGTTCTTGAAAAGAGGGAGAAACAAAATTATTTTAATCAAAACCAAACCTAATTCTAATGGACATAGTTGTGATAGTAATGGTCATCCTCTGTCCTGAATATAATGTAATGCCACTTGTATTTTACTACTTATTATATTTACCATTGGTTTTTATGTATACTGTTTCTCATATCAAGAAAGTTTCCTTCTAACCCTAATTTACTATAAGTTTGTTTGTTTTTTGTTGGTTGTTGTTGTTGTTGTTGTTTGTTTGTTTGTTTGTTTGAGATGGAGCCTTGCTCTTTCACCCAGGCTGGAGTGCAGCGGCGTAATCTTGGCTCACCGCAACCTCCACCTCCCGGGTTCAAGCGATTCTCTCGCCACAGCCTCCCAAGTAGCTGGGACTACAGGCGCCAGCCACCATGCATGGCTAATTTTTTGTATTTTTAGTAGAGACGGGGTTTCACCATGTTAGCCAAGCTGGTCTCAATCTCCTGACCTCGTGATCCTCCAGCTTCGGCCTCCCAAAGTGTGGGGATTACAGGCATGAGCCATGGTTCCCGGCCTATAAGTTTTTTATCAGGAATGACCATTACTTTTATCAAATGACTCTGCAGCATTGATTTATAGCAAAACTATCCAATAGAACTTTCCCCAATGATGGAAGCACCCATTATCTGTGTTTGTACCGTAACTACTAGTCACATGTGGCTACTGAGCACTTAAAAGTGGCTAATAGGAATGAGAAATGAAATTTTTTAAATAACCTAATTTCAACCATTCAAATTTCAATGGAAAGAGCCACATATGGCTAGTGTCTACCATTTTGGACACAGCTGTGAAGTCAGAGGAACTGTGAGTCAATTAAGCCTCTTTCCTTTACAAATTACCCAGTTCTGGGTATGTTCAGAGCAGATCTAGATGATCACATAGGTAGTTTCTTTAAATCTATTAATATAAAGATATGTATCTTCATAAATATGAAATGAAACCATGCTAAACCATCTTTCATATCTGAAACAAAACCTACATGGTAATGCTATATTTGACTTGCTAATATATTATTAATGTAATAAGATGGAGAAAATTGCATCCACCAGAATTCTTATTAGAGAAAGCACTATATTTATTCAGAAGAAATGCTTCAAAAGCCTCTTGGGGTGGTATATAAGACCTTGAGGGGATGTGCAAATAACAAGGATAATGGAACTTGTTTCCTGTGATGAAGGAGTGTGGAATTTTAAGTCCCAAATAGAAAAACTGAGAGGGACAAAGTGAGTAGAGCCAGTGAGGCTGGAGGCTGCATGAGGGAAGAAGAAGAGAAAAACAAAGCATTACCACCATAGAAAACGAAGTAGGAAAAAGAGAAATTTCAGATGAGGATTTTTCTAGCAAAATTCTATATACAATATGATATAATTCCTCTTTTGGTCCCCACAAATTTTCAACAAATTCCACAAAGGTTATTAATGTTGGGATGTGTGTGTGTGTGTGTGTGTGTGTGTGTGTGTGTGTGTATGCTATCCATTGGATGTGTTCACTGATACTCTATTTCTCTGTCCTTTCAGACATATGGTAGAATTTAATTTTCTCAACCTCTTAAAATTAGCTATGACTTGCGTTCATCAATAAATGTAAGTGGAAGTGACATAGGTCATTTCTAGACAGAAGCTTGAAGCACCTGTGTGCTTCCCACACTCTCTTTCCCCTGACATGGCTGCTGGCATTGATATGGTTTGGCTCTAGGTCCGCACCCAAATCTCACCTCAAATTGTAATAATCCCCACGTGTTGTGAGAGGGACCTGGTGGAAGGTAATTGAATTATAGGGGCAGGTTTTTCCCACACTGTTCTCATAAGTGAGTAAGTCTCATGAGATCTGACAGTTTTATAAAGGGCAGTTCCCCTGCACATGCTGTCTCTCGCCTGCCTCCATGTAAGCCATGTCTTGCTTCCCCTTCGACTTTTGCCATGATTGTGAGGCCTCCCCAGCCATGTGGAACTGTGAGTCAATTAAGCCTCTTACCTTTATAAATTACCCAGTTCTGGGTATGTTTTTATTAGCAGCATGAGAACAGACTAATACAGGCATGTTCAAGATAATAGCATCTCTAACAACCTATGTCCCTGAGGGAGGACAATATAGAACACAACCCATAGTCAACCTGTGATAAGCATAGTGTGAGTGGGAAAAAAAATCTTTGCTGTCTTAGACCACCAAAATTTGTAGATTGTTATCACAGCATAACCCAGTCTATCCTAATGGATAAGGAAAGTGATAGCATAGACTGTTACTACATTTTAAAAAAATAAAATATTTGGCATTGTATTAAGAAATGGAAAATAGTTGGTGAAGAAAACAATGCTAGATCATGAAAAGATGAAAACCCATGCTGTACAGTGAGAAATCATTTGGCATGAGATCAAGTAAACAAGGCATATAGCAATTATCAGAATTATGTCCTGAAAAGAATTGTGGCTACACCTATTGGCACATGGAGCTTACTGAAATCTAATAGGAAATAAGCAATCCATGTCTTTAAGTGATTTGTACGGCAAAAGTACCAACAATTTGGACTGAAAATGATTATAACTATTCTATATTTAAGACAACCATAGACTCCAATCTTCTATTGACAGAAAACAGACTGATAAAGCCAATTGCCCCAATAAAAGCCATAGTCCCCAATATTCATTGCAGATGTCACTGAAGACAATAATCAAAAAAAGGAAGCATTTCTTAGAGATAGAAGCTAGGAACAATGAAGAATAATGGTCAAGAGATGCAAATCAGGACTTGATCAAGGAATAACTCCCACATCCAAAAAACAGGCTCTTTTCCTATTCCTCTAAAAGTGTTTATTGAGTTGCCCAACACCTGTGTATACTGAGTATGTGAAGGGCAGATAACATTTTAATTCATAAGTTTCCAGATGAAAAGCAACCACATCCCACGCCTGATAGAGACTATTAGGCATTACTTTGTCTTCATGAAAAGACCATCACACATCACCCAGAGATCCTGGATGTTGAGTATGGTCTTGTTACACTATGCAAATTTTGAGTCTCCCTTACAATGGGGACAGTTGTATTTTGAATGTAGAAAGCAAAGCTAACCAAATAATTGGTGAATAGAAAAGAGCACTCTGGCTGTTCCAAGATGGCCAAATAGGGGTAGCTCCGGTCTGCAGCTCCCAGCGTGATTGACACAGAAGACAGGTGATTTCTGCATTTCCAACTGAGGTACCTGGTTCATCTCATTGGGACTGGTTTGACAGTGAGTGCAGCCAACGGAGGGCAAGCGGAAGCAGGGAGGGGCATTGCCTCACCTGGGAAGCACAAGGGGTCAAGGGGTTTCTCTTTGCTAGCCAAGGGAAGCCGTGATAGACTGTACCTGGAAAAACAAGACATTTTCACCCAAATACTGTGCTTTTCCCAAGATCTTAGCAACTGACAGACAAGGACATTCTCTCCTGTGCCTGGCTCAGTGGGTCCCATGCCCACGGAGCCTTGCTCACCGCTAGTGCATTAGTCTGAGATTGACCTGTGAGGCAGCAGCCTAGCAGTGGGAGGGCCATCAGCCATTGCTGAGGCTCGAGTAGGTAAAAAAAAAGTGGCCAGGAAGCTCAAACTGGGCGGAGCCCACCGCAGCTCAGCAAGGCCTACTGCCTCTATAGACTCCACCTCTGTGGGCAGGGCATAGCTGAACAAAAGGCAGCAGAAACTTCTGCAGACTTAAACGTCCCTGTCTGACAGCCCTGAAGAGAGCAGTGCTTCTCCCAGCATGGCGTTTGAGCTCTGAGGACAGACATACGGCCTCCTCAAGTGGGTCCCTGACCCCCATGTAGCCTAACTGGGAGACACCTCCCAGTAGGGGCTGACAGACACCTCATATAGGTGGCTGCCCCTCTAGGAAGTAGCTTCCAGAGGAAGGATTAGGCAGCAATATTTGCTGTTCTGCAGCCTCCGCTGGTGATACCTAGGCAAACAGGGTCTGGAGTGGACCTCCAGCAAACTCCAACACACCTGCAGCTGAGGGACCTGACTATTAGAAGGAAAACTAACAACAGAAAGGAATAGCATCGACATCAACAAAAAGGAAATCTACACTAAAACCCCATCTGTAGGTCACCAACATCAAAGACTAAAGGTAGATAAAACCACAAAGATGGGGAGAAACCAGAGCAGAAGAGCTGAAAATTATAAAAACCAGAACTCCTCTTCTCTTCCAAAGGATCGCAGCTCCTTGCCAGCAATGGGGCAAAGCTGGACGGAGAATGACTTTGATGAGCTGACAGAAGTAGGCTTCAGAAGGTCAGTAGTAACACACTTCTCTGAGCTAAAGGAGCATGTTCTAACCCATTGCAAGGAAGCTAAAAACCTTGAAAAGAGGTTAGACGAATGGCTAACTCGAATAGCCCGTGTAGAGAAGAACTTAAATGACATGGTGGAGCTGAAAACCATGGCACAAGAACTTCATGACACATGCACAAGCTTCAATGTCTGATTCAATCAAGTGGAAGAAAGGGTATCAGTGATTGAAGATCAAATTAATGAAATGAAGTGAGAAGACAAGGTTAAAGAAAAAAGAGTAAAAAGAAATGAATAAAGCCTCCAAGAAATATGGGACTATGTGAAAAGACCAATCTACATTTGATTGGTGTACCTGAAACTTATGGGGAGAATGGAACCAAGTTGAAAAACACTCTTCAGGATATTATCCAGGAGAACTTCCCCAACCTAGCAAGGCAGGCCAACATTGAAATTCAGGAAATACAGAGAACACCACAAAGATACTCCTCAAGAAGAGAAACCCCAAGACACATAATTGTCAGATTCACCAAGGGTGAAATGAAGGAAAAAATGTTAAGGGCAGCCAGAGAGAAAGGTTGAGTTACCCACAAAGGGAAGCCCATCAGACTAACAGCAGATCTCTCGGCAGAAACCCTACAAGCCAGAAGAGAGTGGGGGCCAATATTCAACATTCTTAAAGAAAAGAAATTTCAACCCACAATTTCATATCCAGCCAAACTAAGCTTCATAAGTGAAGGAGAAATAAAATCCTTTACAGAAAAGCAAATGCTGAGAGATTTTGTCACCACCAGGTCTGCCTTACAAGAGCTCCTGAAGGAAGCACTAAACATGGAAAGAAACAACTGATACCAGCCACTGCAAAAGCATGCCAAATTGTAAAAACTATTGATGCTATGAAGAAAATGCATCCATTACCAGGCAAAATAATCAGCTAACATCATAATGACAGGATCAAATTCACATATAAAAATATTAATCTTAAATGTAAATGGGCTAAATGCCCCAATTAAAAGAGACAGACTGGCAAACTGGGTAAAGAGTCAAGACCCATCAGTGTGCTGTATTCAGGAGACCCATCTCACATGCAGAGACACACATAGACTCAAAATAAAGGGATGGAGGAAGATCTACCAAGCAAAAGGAAAGCAAAAAAAAGCAGGAGTTGCAATCCTAGTCTCTGATAAAACAGACTTTAAACCAACAAAGATCAAAAGAGACAAAGCAGGCCATTACATAATGGTAAAGGGATCAATTCAACAAGAAGAGCTAACTATGCTAAATATATATGCACCCAATACAGGAGCACCCAGATTCATAAAGCAAGTCCTTAGAGACTTACAAAGAGACTTAGAATCCCACACAATAATAGTGAGAGATTTTAACACCCCACTGTCAATATTAGACAGATCAACGAGACAAAAGGTTAACAAGGATATCCAGGACTTGAACTCAGTTCTGCACCAAGTGGACCTAATAGATATCTACAGAACTCTCCACCCCAAATCAACAGAATATACATTCTTCTTAGCACCACATCACACTTATTCCAAAATTGACCACATAGTGGGAAGTAAAGCACTCCTCAGCAAATGTAAAAGAATAGAAATCACAACAATCTCTCAAACCACAGTGCAATCAAATTAGAACTCAGGATTAAGAAACTCACCCAAAACTGCACGACTACATGGAAACTAAACAACCTGCTCCTGAATGACAACTGGGTAAATAACAAAATGAAGGCAGAAATAAAGATGTTCTTTGAAACCAATGAGAACAAAGATACAATGTACCAGAATCTCTGGGACACATTTTAAGCAGTGTGTAGAGGGAAATGTATAGCACTAAATGCCCACAAGAGAAAGCAGGAAAGATCTAAAATTGACACCCTAACATCACAATTAAAAGAACTAGAGAAGCAAGAGCAAACACATTCGAAAGCTAGCAGAAGGCAAGAAATAACTAAGATCAGAGCAGAACTGAAGGAAATAGAGACACAAAAAACCCTTCAAAAAAATCCATGAATCCAGGAGCTGGCTTTTTGAAAAGATCAACAAAACTGATAGCCCACTAGCAAAACTAATAAAGAAGAAAAGAGAGAAGAATCAAATAGACACAATAAAAAATGATAAAGGGGATATCACCACCAATCCCACAGAAATACAAACTACCATCAGAGAATACTATAAACACCTCCACGCAAATAAATTAGAAAATCTAGAAGAAGTGGATAAATTCCTGGACACATACACCCTCCCAAGACTAAACCAGGAAGAAGTTGAATCTCTGAATTCAACAGGCTCTGAAATTGAGGCAATGATTAATAGCTTACCAACCAAAAAAAGTCCAGGACCAGACAGATTCATAGCCAAATTCTACCAGAGGTGCAACAAGGAGCTGGTACCATTCCTTCTGAAATTATTCCAATCAATAGAAAAAGAGGGAAACCTTGCTAACTCATTTTATGAGGCCAGCATCATCCTGATACCAAAGCCTGGCAGAGACACAACAAAAAAAGAGACTTTTAGACCAATATCCCTGATGAACATCGATGCAAAAATCCTCAATAAAATACTGGCAAACTGAATCCAGCACCATATCAAAAAGCTTATCCACCACGACGAAGTTGGCTTCATCCCTGGGAAGCAAGGCTGGTTCAACATACACAAACCAATACACATAACCCATCACATAAACAGAACCAACAACAAAAACCACATGATTATCTCAATAGATGCAGAAAAGGCCTTCAACAAAATTCAACAGCCCTTCATGCTAAAAACTCTCAATAAACTAGGTATTGATGGAACATATCTCAAAATAATAACAGCTATTAATGACAAACCCACAGCCAATATCAAACTGAATGGGCAAAAACTGGAAGCATTCCCTTTGAAAACCAGCACAAGACAAGGATACCTCTCTCACCACTCCTATTCAACATAGTGTTGGAAGTTCTGGCCAGGGCAATCAGGCAAGAGAAAGAAATAAAGGGTATTCAAATAGAAAGAGAGGAAGTGAAACTGTCTCTGTTTGCAGATGACATGATTGTATATTTAGAAAAGCCCATCATCTCAGCCCAAAATCTCCTTAAGCTGATAAGCGACTTCAGCAAAGTCTCAGGATACAAAATCTACGTGCAAAAATCACAAGCATTCCTATACGCCAATAACAGAGAGCCAAATCATGAGTGAACTCCCATTCACAATTGCTACAAAAAGAATAAAATACCTAGAAATCCAACTTACAAGGGATGTGCAGGACCTCTTCAAGGAGAACTACAAACCACTGTTCAACGAAATAAAAGAGGACACAAACAAATGGAAGAACATTCCATGCTCATGGATAGAAAGAATCAATGTACTGAAAATGGCCATACTGCCCAAGGTAATTTATAGATTCAATGCCATCCCCATCAAGCTAGCAATTACTGTCTTCACAGAATTGGAAAAAACTACTTTAAAGTTCATATGGAACCAAAAAAGAGCCCACATTGCCAAGACAGTCCTAAGCAAAAAGAACAAAGCTGGAAGCATCACGCTACATCACTTCAAATTATGCCACAAGGCTGCAGTAGCCAAAACAGCATGGTACTGTTACCAAAACAGAGATATACACCAATGGAACAGAACAGAGCCCTGAGAAATAACACCACACATCTACAACCATCTGATCTTTGACAAACCTGACAAAAACAAACCTATTTAATAAATGGTGCTGGGAAAACTGGCTAGCCATATGTAGAAAGCTGAAACTGGATCCCTTCCTCAAACCTTATATAAAAATTAATTCAAGATGGATTAAAGACTTAAATGTTAGACCTAAAACCATAAAACCCCTAGAAGAAAACCTAGGCAATACCATTCGGGACATAGGCATGGGCAAGGACTTCATGACTTCATGACTGAAACACCAAAAGCAATGGCAAAAAAAGCCAAAATTGACAAATTGGATCTAATTAAACTAAAGAGCTTCTGCACAGCAAAAGAAACTACCATCAGGGTGAACAGGCAACCTACAGAATGGGAGAAAATTTTTGCAATCTACCCATCTGACAAAGGGCTAATATCCAGAATCTACAAAGAACTCAAACAAATTTACAAGAAAAATCAAACAACCCCATCAAAAAGTAGGCAAAGGATATGGACACTTCTCAAAAGAAGACATTTATGCAGCCAACAGACATGAAAAAATGCTCATCATCACTGGTCATCAGAGAAATGCAAATCAAAACCACAATGAGATACCATCTCACAGCAGTTAGAAAGGCGATCATTAAAAAGTCAGGAAACAACAGATGCTTGAAAGGGTGTGGAGAAATAGGAACGCTTTTACACTGTTGGTGGGAGTGTAAATTAGTTCAACCATTATGGAAGACAGTGTGGAGATTCCTCAAGGATCTAGAACTAGAAATACCATTTGACCCAGTGTTCCCATTCCTGGGATATATACCCAAAAAATTATAAATTTTAAATATACCCCAAAATATAAATATACCCAAAAAATTATAAATCATGCTGCCATAAAGACACATGCACAAGTATGTTTATTGTGGCACTATTCACAATAGCAAAGACTTGGAACCAACCCAAATGTCCATCAATGATAGACTGGATTAAGAAAATGTGGCACATATACACCATGGAATACTATGCAGCCATAAAAATAGTTCATGTCCTTTGCAGGGACATGGATGAAGCTGGAAACCATCATTCTCAGCAAACTATCACAAGGACAAAAAACCAAATGCCACATGTTCTCACTCATAGATGGGAATTGAACAATGAGAACACTTAGACACAGGGACACAGGGTGGGGAACATCACACACTGGGGCCTGTCGGGGGGGTAGGGGTCTCGGCGAGGACAGCATTAGGAGAAATACCTAATGTAAATGATGAGTTGATGGGTGCAGCAAACCAACATGGCACATGTATACCTATGTATCAAATCTGCACATTGGGTATATGTACCCTAGAACTTAAAGTATAAAAAAGAAAGAAAGAAAGAAAGAGAAAGAAAGAGAGAGAGAGAGAGAGAGAGAGAGAGAGAGAGAGAGAGAAAGGAAGGAAGGAAGGAAGGAAGGAAGGAAGGAAGGAGGGAAGGAAGGAAGGAAGGAAGGAAGGGAGAGAGAAAGAAAGAGAGAAAGGGAGAAAAAGAGAGAAAGAAGGAGGAAGGAAGGAAGGAAGGAAGGAAGGAAGAAAGGAAGGAAGGAAGGAAGGAAAGAGTTTTCTGGTAATCATTAAGAATGTTTGCAAATATTCCAGTTCTTTCTACTTCTGGAGTGAAAGTAGGATTGCTCTTAATCAACCTTTAAAAGATAGATGCAGACATGTGACTTCCCTTGGCCAGTGACATGTAAATGAATATTAAGTATATCATCTCTGTGATATGCTTCAAGAGCTCAAATATCCTCCATGTTTCCTTCCTTTTGTAGCAATCACTAAGTAATGTGCCAAATGGTTGATACTCTGAAAGCCTGTATAGTCCTCAGTGAGGAAATCCCCAGCTGACCCTGGGAAGAGCAAGCAAGAAATAGGCTTTCATTGTTTAAAACCATTGAGAACTTGGGTTTATTTATTACCACAGCAAAACCTTGTCTGTCTGGACAGGGACAACGTGACTGAGTTTTCTGTGCAAACCAGAGAAGAGGGTAAGATCTGCAGTGAATAATTCAGGGCCAAATGGAACCAGCCTGTGAGGATAAAGAGATAGATGTCTTCTGGTTACATTTAGGATATATGCATCTATAGTCTTATACTCGTTGTTTTCATGTGCTGTGACTTTTCAGTTTTTATATCATAGTTACACTAGCCTTATAAAACAGGTGGAAAAATGTTATGGGTGTTTTTCCCTCTGCTTTGGAATAGCAAAAAGAACAAAGGAATTATCTGTTCCTTAATTATTATTTTAATTCACCAATAAAACAATTTGGGTCAGAAGTATTTCACCTGCAAGTGAAAGATGACTAAATAAAATTAGCTTTAGCAAAAAAAAAAAAAAGAAATTTAAAAAAATTATTATCTCACATGTAGGAAGGACAGGAGTAGCACTGATAGACAATGTTCGATCTTTCTCTTTTCCTCTTTTTCTTTATTTCTATGTCTGCGTCTAAGTTCTATGCCTTATGCATCTCTGCCTGTCTCAGTCTCCATTTCTTGGTCAGTCAGAGGTTTCTAACTGTGTGTGTATGTGTGTGTGTGTGTCTGTCTTTGTCACTGTATACCAACCCCACCCCCCTATCCCTCTCTGAGTTCTCTCTCTCTTATTGCAGATCAGCTTCATCTATGTGGGAGAGGGTAGCTGTGACCATACCCAGTTCTAGGCTTACACCATTGCCATTTAGCAACCCAGAAGAGACCTTTTCCCATAAATACAATACTACATATTACAAGACAGGACTCAATTAACTTTGTTGGGTCACCTGCCCCACCTTGGATTAATATATACAAGGATATAGGCTACTATACTCAAACATACCTGAGTCAGTGTACAATTGTTTTCTGCTATCATAGTATCATATAATTGGGGTAGGAGAGGATCCATCCCCAAAGGACGGCATAGTATTTATACCAAAAAAAAAAAAAAAGAAAAAAAAAACAGAGAATAAGATAGGGAGAGACACACAATTGCTAGCTAAATAAACACAGTAGATAACGACTAAAAAAAACAAATGGGCTTAGCTCTAGTGGAGAATAGATCTTCAGCCATCTTCACAATTCCCTCCTTGGTCATGGTCATCAGTCTATTCATGTTTCTCTGACTCCACTTGAGTCCATTTTAATAATTCACAATTTTTTAGAATCACCTATTTCATCTAGATTTTTGAATTTATTGGCAAAAAGGTAAAAAGGCTTTTCCTCATAATGTCCTTCAAAATGAAAGCCTATGGCATAATGCTGAGAGCAATTCCATTAAAGCAATTCTCTAGGAAACTAAAACAAAAGTATTTCAGGCTGCAGTTCTCTCTTGGTTTGGCTTAATCCAGGAATAAAATTGAATGTGTCTAGAGAAAGGATGGACTGCATATCCTTCAGGCGATTCTCCATCTATATTACTTTTGATAAGTGAGCTTTTGATAGGTTCTAGGTAGCAGAGATTTGTAGGTTATAACCTCTGACAAGAATTTGAAGTACAAATTATTTTACAGTGCTCAATTTCATATGTTTCATTGGTCAGTCCAAATGGAAAGAGTTGACATTCTCTTATGAAAGTTGAGACACCTAAATAGGACATGTGTCTGAAGAGAAGATGTTCTCAAGACCACACAAAAGTAGTTCCCAGAATAGTACTCATGGGGTAAAGCCAGGCTTTTCCTAGAGCAATTAAACAGCTGAACAAAACACAAGGCGGAAGACAGAATGAAAAACACACAACAAGATAAACCAAGACAGGGGGACAAATAGCATTCTGTGGAGAGCCAAGAAGTAACTGAGGTGCTGCTATTAAAGGGTATGTGAAAATGACCTAGACTTCATCAAGAAAGTGCTAGTTGAGATGGCATTATAAGATGAGAAAAATGTTGATGGGTAGAAGGTAAGCAGAGGAGCTAGAAAGAACTTCATGAGCAGGTCTTGTGTCTTATGTTTCTTTGGAGTTTAGGGAATGGGCTGAAGGGATAAAGCAAGGGCTAGATGAAAAGATGAACTAAACTGTTGTCTAGCCACCACGATGTAGGAAAGTCCAGACTAAACACTGAATGATGTGGAAAGTGGCCCTGAGAGACAAAGGCCTTGCATGTTGCAGCTCCCAGCTGAGCTACCCATTGAATCCAGCCACATGAATCACCCCAGATACAATCGCATGAAGCAGAGGAAACACTGAGCTTCACCCTGCCACAGTTCAAGCCAACACTGAGAATAATAAGCTGTTGTGGTTTGAATCCAGCAAGTTTTGGCATGGCTTGCTCTCGGACATATGCTCAGGTCTGAAACTCCCTGCCTCGTCTTGTGCTACTCTTATGCTAATATTCATTATGTCTCTTTGCAATCAATCCTACCTCACTCCTGGCCCTAGGAAATCACTTGTCTGCTTTCTGTCTCCAAAGTTTATTTTGCATTTTCTAGAATTCCAAGTAAATGGAATCTCACAGTATATCCTTTTTTTTTTTTTTTTTGAATGGCTCTTTTGCTGCACAAATAATATATTTGAGATTCTTGCGTGTTGTGTATTCCTTTTTATTTTTCTTTATTGCTGAGAAATATTCCACTCTATGGCTATACCATAGCTTACTTATTTAGTCTCTATTTGATGGACATTCAGGTTGTTTTCAGTTTGGCACTATTATGAGTAAAGTTGCTACAAATTTCATAAACAAAGGTTTATGTGGATATATACTTTCATTTTTCTTAGGTAAATTCCTAGGTGTAGAATTGCCAGATAAATGATAACTACATGCTTGACTTTATAAGAAATTGTAACATTGTTTTTCAAAGTGTGTGTACCATTGTACTTTCCCTCCAGCAATGTGTGAGAATTACAGATGTACCATATCTTTGCCAACATTTTATACTGTTAGTATGTTTCATTTTTCAAGGCATTCCGATGGATGAATAGTGGTATATCACTGTAGCTTTAGTTTGCATTTTTCTGATGGCCAATAATTCTGAACATCTTTTTATGTGCTTATTGGCCATTGGTATATCTTTTTTGGCTAAGTATCTTTTCGAATATTTTGCTCATTTACTATTGAGTTGTTTATCTTGTCTTTGAGTTGTGACAGTTCTTTACATATTCTTGATACAAGTACATTTTTTATATGTGTGTATTGAGAATCATTTCTTCCAATCTGTGTCATGGCTTTCATTTCTTTAATGATTTCTTTCAAAGAATAAATGTTCTTAATCTTGAGGAAGTCTAATTTCTCCTCTTTCATAATTTTATGATTCGTACTTCTTGTGTCCTATCTAAGAAACTATTGTCTACTCCAAGTTCATAAAGATTGTCTCCTATAAGTTCTTCTAGAACTTTTATCATTTTGGCTTTTACGTTTAGGTTTATGATCCTCCATTTCAAGATAATTTTGTGTATAATGTGATGTATATGCTGAGATTTTGTTTTATTCCATGTGGATACCCAGTTATTTTAATGCCATTTGTTGAAAATAATTACCATTTTTATCCATTGAATTAACTTGAAATTTTTATCAAAAATCAAGCAATTGTATATATGGGTCTATTTCTGGACTCTCTATTCTAGCCCATCAATCTGTATGCCTATTCTTATGCTAATATTCATGATCTTGAGTTTTAACTTTATGGCACTTAGAAATTAGATAGTATAAATTCTCTTCATTCTTAATTTTTAAAATTGTATTGGATATTTTAGGTCACCTGCATTTCTATATAAATTTGATAATAAATTTGCTAAGATCTACAAAAGACAGCCTATAGGAATTTTGATTGGGGTTATGTTAAATTGATATATCAATTTGGAACATTTTTAAATTTTACTAACATTGGGTCTTCCAATCCACGAACATGATATATATCTCTGTTTTTTCTTTTTAGATTTTCTTTTCTTTCCCTCAGAAATGTTTGGTACTGTTCTGTGTTCAAGTATTACATATATCTATTAAATATATTTTTAGATATTTTATTTTTATACTATGTAAATAGTATTCAATTTTTTATATTTGATTTTCCAAGTGTTTCATTGCTAGTATAAAAAATTCAAGAGTATTGTATATTGAACTTGTAGCATGCCAGCTGACTAAATTCACTAATTAATTCTAGTAGCTTTTGTAAAGGTTCATTAGGACTTTTTTACCTAAACTATCACATCTTCTGCAAATGGAACAATTTACTTTTCCTTTTCCAATCTATGTACCTGTTATTTCTTCTTTCTTGCCAGGATCTCTACAAAAATATCAGGAAACAACAGATGCTTGAGAGGATGTGGAGAAATAGGAACACTTTTAAACTGTTGTTGGGAGTGTAAATTAGTGCAACCACTGTGGAAGACAGTCTGGCGATTCCTCAAGGATATAGAACCAGAAATACCATTTGACCCAGCGATCCCATTACTAGGTATATACCCAAAGGATTATAAATCATTCTACTATAAAGACACATGCACACATATGTTTATTGCGGCACTGTTCACAATAGCAAAGACTTGGAACCAACCCCAATACCCATCAATGATAGACTGGATAAAGAAAATGTGGCACATATATACCATAGAATACTATGCAGCCATAAAAAAGGATGAGTTAATGTCCTTTGCAGGGACATGGATGAAGCTGGAAACCATCGTTCTCAGCAAACTAACACAAGAACAGAAAACCAAACACTGCATGTTCTCACTCGTAAGTGGGAATTGAACAATGAGAGCACATGGACACAGGGAGGGGAACATAACACACCAGGGCCTGTGGGTCTGGGGGTTAGGGGAGGAATAGCATTAGGACAAATACCTAATGTAGATGACGAGTTGATGTGTGCAGCAAACCACCAAAGCACGTAGATACCTATGTAACAAACCTGCACATTCTGCATATGTATTCCAGAACTTAAAGTATAATAAACAACAAGAAAGAAAAAATATATTGTATCACAGTGGTGAACACCTTTGCCTGTTCCCAGTCTTAGAGGGGAAGCATTCAATCTTTACTATTTTTGTTTTGCTTTGTTTTTGAGACGAAGTCTCATTCTGTTGCCAAAGCTGGAGAGCAGTGGCAGGATCTCAGCTCACTGCAACCTCCACCTGCTGGGTTCAAGTGATTCTCCTGCCTCAGCCTCCTGAGTAGCTGGGACTGCAGGCATGCACCACCATACCTGGCTAATTTTTGTATTTTTAGTAGAGACAGATTTCACTACGTTGGCCAGGCTGGTCTCAAACTCCTGACCTTGTGGTCTGCCTGCCTCAGCCTCCCAAAGTGCTGGGATTACAGATGTAAGCCACCGCACCTGGCCCAGTCTTTACTATTAAGTATGATGCTGGTTGTAGGTTCTTCACAGGCTCCACTTACCAGGTTGAAATTTTCTTCTATTTCTAGCTTTCCAGGGGTTCTTTTTAGTCATTAACGAGTTGAATTTCTAAAACATATTTTTACTGCATCTATGAAGATGATAATCTGGTTTTTCTTCTTTGTTCTTTTGATATGGTGAATTACATTAATTGATCATTGAGGGCTAAACCAACCTTGCATTTCTGGAATAAATCGGATATGGTCATGAGGTGTTATTTATATTGCTAGATTTGGTTTGCTAATATTTTGTTTAAAATTTTTTGGTCTATGTTCTTGTCTTTAGTTTTCTTATCTTTTAATATGTTTATTTTCAGGGAAATTCTGACTTAAAAATATTAAAAATGACTTGGGAAGTGATTTTTTTAATCTCTGTTTTCTGAAAACTGTCATGTATTACTGGAAATATTACTTCTGAAATTTTTGGTACAATTAACTAGTAAGTCCATCTGAGACTAGAGTTTTCTTTATGGGAAGGCTTTTAAATATTAATTCAAATTATGTAAAATGTAGAAGGCTATTCAGATTTTCTGTTTCTCTTTGAGTCAATTTTTATTATCTGTAACTTTTGCTAATGCCATTTTTATCTCAATTTTAGTAATGTATTACAGTCATTTATGTCTATTTTATCTGATGTACATGTGTAAGACTGTGTCTGGGATATATACCTAGGTGTAGAATTTGAGGCTTTGCCTGTCTTCTCCATTGCATCTCTGTTTCCTTTTACATTAATTTCTGGTCTGATATTTATATTTTACTTTCATTTGGTTTATTCAATATTTTTTCTAACTATACCTCGCATTTTGATTTTCAATCCACCTTTTCTTTTTTCTTTTCTTTTTTTTTTTTTTTTAAATAGAGACAAGTTCTCACTCTGTCGTCCAGGCTGGAGTGCAATGGTGCAATCATAGCTCATTGAACCCTCAACTCTCTGGGCTCAAGTTATCATCCCTTCCCAGCCTCCTGAGTAAGTAGGACTACAGGCATGCACCACCACACCTGGCTAATTGTTTTATTTTATTTTTTGTTAGTCAGGGTCTCTCTATGTTGCCCAGGCTGGTCTTGAACTCCTGGCCTCAACTGATCCTTCTGCCTTGGCCTCCCAAAGTGCTGCAATTACAGGCATGAGCCACCATGTCTGGCCAACTGTTTTTTGTTTTTTTTGTTTTTTGTTTTTTTTTTTCTAAAAAAGAAGCATTTATTTTTAAAAATTTCCCCTAAATGATGTTCTCACTCATTGTTCCAGTAATTATTTTTAGCATTTTTATTATCATTGATGTCTAAGTATATTTTCCTTTTTGACTATTATTCCTTTTTCACTAAGTTACTTAGATATGCATATTTTTAAATTTTCAAATGTATGAGATTTTGCATTTTAGAAATATTTTTGCTATTGATTTTATACTAGATTGCATTGTTGACAGAAAATATAAGTTATGTCATACCTACTCATTTCTTACAGCTTACTTCATGGCCTAACACATGATCAGATTTGGTTTTTTGTTTCAAAGTTCCTTATGTTCTTGAGAAGAATACATACTTTCTAATTGTGGAGTACAGAGTTTTATATATATACATTAACTCAAGGTTATTAAATGTATGATTCGTGTCTTCCATATATTCATTTTTGGTTTGTACAACTTTAATTGAGAGATATGTGTTGAAATCTTTCATTTGAATATCAGAGTTATCTACTTCTTCTCTAGTTATATCAAATTCACTCTCTGTATTTTAAGGCTTTGTAAATTTTTGATTGTGTTTTATATATTTTACTGAGTCCTGCAAATTTAGAATTATTAGAATTTTCTGTTTAAACTGTTTATCATTGCATTGTGACTCTTTTTATCTGTAACAGTAGTTAAAAAAAATAAATTTAAGGGCTACAAGTGCTGTATTGTTACGTGGATATATTGTGTAGTGGTGGTAAAGTCTAGATTTCAGTGTAACCATCCCCCAAACAATGTACATTGTGCCCATTAGGTAATTTCTCATCTCTCACCCCCTCCCCGCCCTCACCCTTCTGAGTCTCCATTGTCTATGATTCCACACTCTATGTTCATGTGTAACATTATAACCTTATTTAGCTTATAAGTGAGAATTTCCAGTATTTGTTTTGTTTTTGTTTTGTTATTTTATTTTTTTTAGACAAGGTCTTGCTTTATCTCCCAGGCTTGAGTGCAGTGCCACAATCTTGGCTCACTGCAACCTCTGCCTCCCAGAGAACATGCAGTATTTGGCTTTCTGTTTCTGAGTTGTTTCACTTAAGATAATGGCCTTCAGTTCCACCCATGTTGCTGCAAATGACGTGGTTTCATTCATTTTTATGACTGAGTGGTTTTCTATTGTACACACACACATATATACATATAATTTTCATTATATGTATTGACAGACATTGACAGACACTAAGTTTCATTTCATATCTTTGCTATTGTGAATAGTGTTGCAATAAACATAGAAAAGCAGGTACCTTTTTGATGTAATAATTTCTTTTCCTTTGGGTAGATACCCAGTAGTGAGACTGCTGGATCAAATGGTAAATTCTGTTTTCAGTTCTTCGAGAAATCTCTATACTGTTTTCCACAGAGGTTGTACTAATTTACATTCCCACCAACAGTGAATTAGCATTCCCTTTTCTCCACATCCTCACCAAGATCTGTATCTTTAAGAGTACTTTTTATCTTAAAGTTTAGCTAATATTGCTACAAAAATCTTAACTTTTTTTGGCATTTTCCTGGTGTGTCTTTTTTTTATTCTTTTACTTTTAACCTTCCTTCTTCCTTATGTTTCAGGTATGTCCCTTACAAACATGCAAGTGGATTTTGCATTTTTATATCTAATGATCTCTATATTTTAGCTGGTGAGTTCAGCTGACTTACAGACATTGTTACCTGATATTGTTTCTATCATCTTGCTGGTACTTTATTGTGCTTTCCTCTATTTTCTCATTCTTTCTTCAGGTAAATTGTTAATTTGCCATCTTTTTAAAAAAAATTTGTGGTAAAATATACATAACATAAACTTGCCATTTTAACCTTTTTTTTTTTTTTTCAAGGAAAAAGAGAGAAGCAACCAATATTCCAAATGTTCTTTCAGTGGTGTTACTATATCCACAATGTTGGGCAACCATCACCACCATTTCCAAAATTTTTTGTCACCCAGTGCAGAAACTGTGTAACCATTAAGCAATAACTCTCCATTCCTCCCTTCCCCAGCCTCTGGTAAGCTCTGATGTACTTCCTGTATCTAGGAATTTGCCTATTTTAGATATTTCATATCAGTGAAATCATACAATCTTTATCCTTTTGTGTCTTATTTCCCTTAGCATAAAGTCTTCAAGGTTCATCAATGTTGCAGCATGTATCAGAACTTTGTTCCTTTTATGACGGAATAATATTCCATTGTAAGTATATGCCACGTTTTATTTATCCATTCATCTGCTGATGGACACTTGGGTTTTCTGCCTTTTGGCTATTATGAATAATGCTTCAAGGAACATGGGTTTACAATATCTGAATCCCTGCCTTAGGTTCTTTTGGGTATAAACCTAGGATTGGAATAGTAATTTGCTTTCTCACTTGATTTTTCCCCATTCTATTGGTTAAAGATTACAGACTCTATGTCTAGTCTATTGGTTATCTTTTAAATGATAACACAGTCTACATGTTAATGTTTTAATTCTCTCCAAACAATACAAGGAATTTAGAAACTTGACTCTGATATTCTTCCTCCCAGATTGCATAGATTTGTTGTGAAAAGTTATGTTCTGCCTTCTTTTTAACCCCACAAAGTATTTTGTAGGAGGAGTAGTAGCGGCAGTAATAGTATGCTGATATGATACAATTTTTAAAATAATAACTAAAGGGTATAAGTAGAATTTATAACTTACAAAACAGCCAAATTAAAAATAGAATCTTGATTTGTAATGTAAAAGTATCCAGTTAGCCACTAGTAAAAATAGATACAAAATTAAAATTCTCAAAAAAAGTATAACACTGTGAAGAACAAAAACAACAACATAAAACACCAGGGTGTCATTTCAGCTCAAGGACAGCCAGTTTCACATCTGTGAGGCAAGCTGATATTGCCATTACGTCTAACTCTGGTTTTCTCACAATTACGTGTCCTGATAGAACATAGTACATCAATTATCTGAACCATACTAATGAGTTTCTGAACTGTGTTATCACAAGGACCCAAAATGTCTTCCTCAAAGCTTTATTTGTGGTTTAGCAGGTCAATAAGGGTCATCATCTTTGGGTTGGCATACAGTCCTTGAGTGTCTCATACATGGCAGCACAGTTCCAGGCACTGGACACACAGCACTGAATATACAGACAAAAAAAGGATGACTTCATAGATGTTATACGTATAAAAAGAAAGACAGAAAATGAAAACATAAACAAAGTATGCAATGTGCCAAATACTGAAAGCATTCTAGAGAAAGACAAAACAGACAAAGTAGATAGGGAATGCTGAGAGTGAGCGCTCAGGATAGTTGTAGCGGTCAGAGAAGACTTCACAGAGGAGGTGATGTTTGAGCAAAGACCTTGTGGTAGATAGAACTAGCTGTCCACAAAAATTTATGCTCCCCTGCTTAGCGCAGAATTATTGCTAAGAGCTGGCCTCTGAGCCAAGACTGCATTTCCCAGCCCTTCTTGCATGTAGACATAGCTATGTAACTAATTATCACCAATGGAATTTGAACAGAAGTGCCTTATCTTACCTCCAGACTGGAGCTTTAATGAATTAGGTGTGCCTTCTCTCCTCTCTCTTTACCCTTCTGCCAGCTGAAACAGAAGACTCTGAGGCTTCAGAACAGTTCTATCTGGCAGAAATATAAAGTGAGCCATATATGTTCTTCTGTATTTTCTGTATGAGTAAAAAGAAACACATGAAATTCATTTTAACAATACATTTTCCAAGCACAATATTTCTAAATATTATTTCAGTATGTATTCAACATGAAAAATATTGGAGATAATTTCTATTCTCTTTTTCAAAATCCACTATGTACCTTACACTTAGAGTACATTTCAATAGCTACCAGCCACTTTCCAAGAACTCAGTAGCCACATGTGGCACCATATTAGTGCAGGTCTAGAACACCGTACAGCAATGAGATTAAAGGGGGCAGGTCCCTGATGGAGGACAGCCACCGTCAACCAGGAACAACCACATTGCATTATTACATGAGTGAGAAGTAAACTTTTTTACATTAAGCTTCCAAAATGTTGAGGTCTGCTGGTTGCAGAAATTGATTTCTTGAAGTGGTATATTTAAAACTCAAAACTAAAACATAAGGCATTGTTTTAGCAGTCAGTTAACAGGTGGTTCTAAATAGACATTAGAATCTGGAAAGCAGAGAGCTGTGTTAAAATGAATTTCACAGTTTTACTATGGACACTTGAAAGACAGAACAAGTACCTAGTGATGCTGTAGCATTAGAGTAAGTGCTTTGAAAGGCAGAATGTCAGCCAGGCGCAGTGGCTCATGCCTGTAATCCCAGTACTTTGGGAGGCCAAGGTGGGTGGATCACTTGAGGTCAGGAGTTCAAGACCAGCCTGGCCAACATGGTGAAACCCCGTCTCTACTACAAATACAAAAATTAGCCAGGTGTGGTGGCGGGCACCTGTAGTCCCAGCTACGCGGGAGGCCAAGGCATGAGAATCACTCGAACCTGGGAAGCAGAGGTTGCAGTGAGCCAAGATTGCGCCACTGCACTTCATCTTGGGTGATAGAGTGAGACTCAGTTTCAGGGAATAAAAAAATAAATAAAATAAAAAAGAATGTCATTAGATTCTGTATTAGTCTGCTATGGCTGCCATAACAAAATACCACAGATTGGGTGGTTTTAACAACAGAAATTTATTTTCTCAGAGTTGTGAAGGCCAAAAGTCTAAGAGCAACATGCCAGCAGGATTGGCTCTGGTGAGGCCTTTCTCCTTGGCTTGCAGATGGCCACCTGCTCACTGTGGTCTCACACCTCCTTTTCTCTGTGCATGCACACTCCTAGGCATCTTCCTCTTCTGATAAGGACACCAGTCCTATTTGATTAGGGCCCCACCCTTGTGACCTCCTGCAACTTTAGTTACTTCCTTAAAGTCCCTATCTCTACATACAGTACATTGGAGGTTAGGGCTTCAACATATGAATTTTGGAGGGCATAACTAAGGCCATAAAATATGCTGAATGCTCCTTTCTGCAGTGAACAAGTGTTATAAGAAAGAAATGTGATCAGGAAACAATTGGCTGGTTTGCAAGCAGAAATAAAGGATAAAAAGAATCTAGAAATCAAGATGAGTTTAGGGTCTTGCAGATTTGGAAAACTGACTGCTTCTAGACACCAAGCAGTAGGCCATAGGACCTAAAATGCATTCAGCCAAAACGCTCTTGAGTTGTCTTGGTTCAGCAGAGGTTTGCAAGGTTGAAGCAGACACATCATAGTAACTCAATTCTTTTACTACCAACACTGCTTCTTCAAGGAGCTTCAAGTTAACTGCATTAAATTAAGAGAGAAAAGTGTAGGGACAAGCAAATACAAGGAAAGAAACAGAGCAGTCTTTAAGCATCATTTCTGGGAAAGAACTTTGGATATGGTTACTGTCACACTGAACTGAATGGAAATCAAGGGAATCGTGTTTCCCAAAAATTCACAGAAACAGTAAACTCTGTCTTGAACACCTGTGGCTGTAAAAATTTCCCCAGGATTTCAAATATCTACCAGTAAGAAGCAGGTGTGAAAGCTGTGCAAGCTCCAAGGAAGTCATGTTCCTTGATGCCAATCTCAGATACTGCCAGGAAGTATAATGGACAAACAAAGAACATCACAGAGAGCACAGGTGAGGAACATAGAGAACAGGGAAAAGGAAGTTCCTCCTACAAAGCAGGACCATGCTCTAATGAAGAAATCTGCTCTATCCAAGGGCAGAGAGACTTCATAATGTCTACCCAGTTGGATTTCTCATGGCTATGGACCAGTTGCTGCCATAGGTCTTCCAGTCTTCCCCTGTCCAAATAAGAGTTTTTATTTTAGTTATCTTGTTCTGGGTCCATATTTGCTGTATTAGATTGGTGGATGCAGAAAGTGGAAAATAAAATGTGTCTTTAAATTCATAGATCTCTGAACCAAAGGAGCCACATTAGCCGGAGTTGCTGGACTTTGTCGTAGCTGGAACTTTGTCTCCTTTAGGGAAGGGGCCACACAGATATTTGGTGGCCAGAGGGTAGTTTGTAGCAGCAATGGCTAGCTGCCCCATGAGTTCTTTCTCTCTATGCATAGTATTAGTTTCTTGCTGGAATGTGCTGCAGAGCCAGTGACTACAATCACAGCTCCATTTGAATCCAGAGTGGCCATGTGACTGGTTGTTCTTTCAAGAGGATGTGAGTAGAGTGATGTATGCTTTATATACTGTCTTTTTTCCTCTTGTTCGAGCTGGACTTAGGGGCCTGTGTAAAGACACTGCAAAGCACAAGGTGGAAGAAGCCTGGGTCCTAGAGTCACCACATACAGGAAAACCACCTGCTATCCAGGAACATCATTATTAGACCATTGCATGGATGAGAGATAAACTTCTGTTTTGTTAAGCCACTGAAATTTTGAGGTTTTCTTGGTATAGAATCTAGCATTACCTTAATGAATATGCTTCTGAAAGAAAAGGAAAGAGCTATGCAGCCCTTGATGAAATACTGGATGGAAAGTATTCCAGGCAGGGAGAACATGCATGTAAATGCATATTCCTGGAGCAGAAGAATAACAAGTGTTTCCAAGGACCCACAAAGAGCCAAGTGTGGCTGAAGCAAAGAAAACAAAGGGAATAACTGAAGGTGATAAGATGAGAGCAGTAAAAAGAAGACAAATCCTTATGGCCTCTCAAGCCACTGGGAGGACTTCGGCTCTTATTTTGAATGAGTTGGAGAAATGAGAGTGTTTGCAGCAGAGAGGGGACACAACCTGATATTTTAATTGGATTCCTGTAGCTGCTGTTGAGGAACAAGTTACAGAGGGACAACATGCAGGGAGATCAGTTTTGAGACTATTAAAATGATCCATGGGAGAGATGAAGGGGGTTTAAAATTGGGTGGTTGCGTGGGAGGAGATAAGCAGTATTCGAATTCTGAATATAGCTTTAAGGTAACCCCTTGTCTGTAATTCAGGCATAAATGCTACTTACGCTCTGGCTGGCTCAAGTCAGAGAACTATATACGCATTGAGAGCAGAAACTGGCTCCCAGCACCTCATAAAGTGCCTGGTGTCTTCTGTACCGAAAGGGTTCTGCCAATGCATAATAGTGTTATTGTTTCATTACAAGTATTAATAATTAATGTGCAAAGAGTAAATAAAACTAGCTGAAGGATTTATGAATGCTTTCTGAGTTACCTAGGTCATAAATACTTTTCATTGAGATTGAATGCTATTAATATATATTCATCTCGGTGCCATCTTTCAGGTTAACCATGAGATTGCCATTGGCCTGAGGGACAAGATTGTTTTGGATTCTTTCAAAGAGCCAACTATGATTATTTCAAAACAAGCAAACAAACAAAAATATTAGGCTACCTGTATTACCCAGGGTTTTCCAGAGAAACAGAACCAATAGGGTGTATATACGGAAAGACATTTATTCTGAGGAATTGGCTCATGTGATCTATGGCACTCTGGCAAGTCCAAAATCTGATGAAGGAGGCTGGCAGACTGAAAATTTAGGGAAGAGTTACACTTTGAGTCCAAAGGCAGTCTATTGTATGAACCAAGAAGAACAGAGGTTGCAGATGATGTCAGAAGGCAGAATTGACTCTTGCTCCAGGAAGGTCATCATTTTGTTCTTGTTCAGCCTTCAGTGATGGGATGAGGACCACTCAGATTATGAAGGGCAATCTGCTTTACTCAAAGTCCACCAATTTAAATGTAAATCTCAACCAAAGCTCCCATCTTTGTCCATTTTCTGCTGCTATAACAGAATACCTAAGAGGGAATAACTTACAAAGACAATTTTTTTTCTCTTTTTTTGGCTCAGTTTTAGAGGATGGGAAGTAGAGGATCAAGGGACTACATCTGGTGAGGGCCTTATTGCTGCATCATAATGGGCAGAAGTCATCACACAGAGAGCGAGTAAGGGAGAGAGAGAAAATTGAGCTGAACCTTTCTATCAGGAACACACTCCAGAGATAACTGACCCACTCCCAAGATAATGGCATTAATCCAGTCCTCATGGCCATTAATCTTCGTGGCCTAATCGCTTCATCTTAAAGCCCCATTTTTTAGCACTCTTACAATGGTGATTAAATTTTTTGAAAAATTTTTGTATTAACACTCCTACTGTTCTAAGGCAATTAAATTTCAATATGAGTTTGGGAGGAGACATCCAAACCATAGCAGTATCTTTATAGAAACTTCTAGAACAATGTTTGGCCAAATATCTGGACATCATGGCCCATACAAATTGACATATAAAATTAACTATCAGACTACCACTTTAATTAGAAAACTTCAAGATGTCCTTTTAACAGCTCTTAAATTCAGTGAATCTTGCCTCTTATCAGCCTCACAGACTCTATGGTGATTTCCTTTCTTCACTGTGTAATTGCATATTTAATGAAAAAATCATTAGATAATGGTGAAAGCCCAATTATTTTCTTACTATTGTAAAAATGTTAATTCATCTCTTGCTTTTTAAAAAAAAATTAGCCATATAGTTATAACATGTGGTATCTCATATTGGCAAAATTGTCTGCTTTCCTCTCTTTAAAATATGTTGTCAAATGCTTCATATGACCTTATAATTTTTTACTCCTTTAAAAGAGTCAATGGAGAAGAAAAGAAAATTGTCTACATAACTGTATTATTTTTCAACTAACTATTTTGCTTGGTTTATGTTGACAGAGACTAAGGTAGAATCTTCTTGATATTTTTAAATATTAAAAAAAAATAGGCCAGGCAATGTACCTCATGCCTATAATCCCAGCACTTTGGGAGGTAGGATGATTGCATGACACCAGAAGTTTAAGACCATTCTGGGCAACATAATGAGACTTCATCTCTACAAAAAATTAAAAAATGAGCTGGGCATAGTGGCATGCACCTGTAGTCTCAGCTACATGGGACACTAAGGTGGTAGGATTGCTTGAGCACAGGAGTTCAAGATTACAGTGAGCTATGATATGGCCACTGCCACCATCATAGAGGGTGGGCAACAGAGTGAGACCTTGTATTAGTCTGTTTTCATGCTGCTGATAAAGACATACCTGAGACTAGGCAATTTACAAAAGAAGGAGGTCTAATGGACTTACAATTCCATGTGTCTGGGGAGGCATCACAATCATGGTGGAAGGCAAAGGGAGCAAGTCACGTCTTACATGGATGGCAGCAGGCAAAAAGAGAGCTTGAGCAGGGAAACTCCCACTTTTAAAACCATCAGATCTCATGAGACTCATTCACTATCACGAGAACAACGCAGGAAAGACCCGCTCCCATAATTCAATCACTTCCCAACAGGTTCCTCCCATGACACGTGGGAATTGTGAGAGTTACAATTCAAGCTGAGATTTGGGTGGGGACATAGCCAAACCACATCAGACTCTGTCTCTAAAAAAAATAATAATAATATGGCCAGGTGCGGTGGTTCATGCCTATAATCCCAGCACTTTGGGAGGTGGAGGTGGGTGGATCACGAGGTCAAGAGATGGAGACCATCCTGGCCAACATGGTGAAACCCTGTCTCTACTAAAAATACAAAAATTAGTTGGGCATGGTGGCGCGCACCTGTAGTCCCAACTACTCGGGAGGCTGAGGCAGAAGAATCGCTTGAACCCAGGAGGCAGAGGTTGCAGTAAGCCGAGATCGTGCCACTGCACTCCAGCCTGGTGACAGAGTGAGACTCTGTCTCAAATAATAATAATAATAATAAAATAAAAAATAAAATAATAAATAAATAAATAAAATCACAAGATTACCAAAAAAATTAGAGAAAAGAACAAAAACAAACTACCCTAAAAGGATACTCTAGCATTATGTCATTGTAATTGCAAACATCAATAAAATATTTAATAATCATCAGAAAAGTAAAGAAATCAGTAAAATGGAAAAAGAAATTCCTAGTGCAAATTTCAGCAAGCTTAAGAAAATAGCAGAAGTGGCCACATGGGAACATTATTAAACAATGAGACATCCAGTAAAACCGAATGCGATAACAGGAAGAGATCCTCCTTGAGTCAAAACAATAGGAAGAATTTAACTTCATCAGCTAAATAAATAGAAATTAGACATACAGAAAAAAAGAATATTAGACCAGCTTAATAAACAGATGTAGGCCTAAGAGGGAAGAAATAAATGCAACAAAATATTAGATATCAGAGATGTGCTGGCCTGATATGACTTTGCAGACAGTGTGAGGGTTTGAGAGGGCGGTCAGTGCCATCTTCCACACTCTGCAGAACCAGTAGCAGCAGGAGCCCCAGTCTTAGACACAGCAAAGACCCAGACTGATGGCAGTAGCAGCAGCTGGCTCCCTTGATGGAGGATACAGAGCTCCCTGCCCTTCTGAGTGATGACAGCTTAGTTAGCAGGAAGGAGTTGTGCTACCTGGAGATGCCTGATGTCATGCATCAGCAGTGGGGCAGAAAGAAGCCAACACATGTCAGTGGAGTCCTGGGGTGTCACAGAGGCTGAAAGAACTTCTACAAGAGTATGGATGATTGAGGACTCCCAAAATTTACTGGGAAGGCAGGGTGAGTCTTTGAACAAGATTAGAGATTTCAGTACTATATATAAGATGTTACAGAGAAAACATTGTTTCCTACTTTAAAGTTAACCCCCAGGTATGTTTTGAGTAAAGATGTCTTATGTGCTACATAGATGATGTTGGTTAAATGATTACTCTTTCCAGGAAGTTTGTATTTTAACATTGATTTTGTGCAGACAATACTTTAACCTTTGTCCATTAATATTTCCCTCGGATTGTTTAGTGAAGAGATGGTGGGTTCAATATCCCACATCTCTAGTTTTTTCAAGGTAGAAAGCTCTACATCCGATGAGGTGGCTCTAGGTTAGAAAAATGCATTCATTGTATTTGAACTTAAGTTTTCAGTCCCTGAGCTGCTAACCCCAAACTCCTCTCTCCATCACCCCTTACTCCAAACTCCTCTTTCCACTGCAAACTGAAAAAATTCTCATTTCATCCTACAACGTATCATAATAAACAAATGCTAGCGGTGGCTCACGCCTGTAATACCAGCACTTTGGGAGGCCAAGGTGGGCAGATCACAAGGTCAGGAGTTCAAGGCCAGCCTGGCCAAGATGGTGAAACCCCGTCTCTACTAAAAATACAAAAAAAAAGAGTAGCCAAGCATGGTGGTGGGTGCCTGTAATACCAGCTACTCGGGAGGCTGAGGCAGAGAATTGCTTGAACCCGGCAGGCAGAGGTTGCAGTGAGCCGAGATCGCACCACTGCAGTCCAGCCTAGGCAACAGAGCAAGACTCCATCTCAAAAAAAAAAAAAAAAATGCTATTAAAATAATGCTATTTGGTAGGTATTAAAAGTTACCTTCAGCCATTTAATTCTAAGCTTCTAAAAATGAAGGTCACAAAGGTCACTTTGGCCCAATATTTAACATTCTCATTATTAATGTATAAATGTACACAATGTAATTTAGTGAGAATGTGTTCAGTTTCACCAAACATGAAAATAAGAAAGTGGTTTTAGCAATATTCTTACATTTCCACACCGAGTGATTAGGAGTCAATAGCAAATCATTTTAAGGGATATACTAAGTATCCAAGTAAGTATTATAATAAAACTTAATATTTAAATATTAAGAATAATTAAGTATTAAGCATTAAATATTAAGAATTCACAGGTTCTACAGAGGTCTTCCAAGTCAGCCCATCACTTCACAGAGAAAACTAAGGCCTATATAGGGAACATGCTTTGTTCTAGGTACCCAGGAAGTTCATTCTCAAGGTTGACCTAGAATCTATGTCCCTCTACTCCTCAAAGTGAATTCCTTCCCGTCTGGATAAGACTTTGGTGATTAGAGGGAAGCTTGTGTTCCCCATTTTCTCCAGAATCTCACTTCCAGGGCAGTAGTCCATCCCATTTTTATTGCACCAATGGGTGCACTGTGTTGCCTCCAAATAACCTTGCCCAAACCTGCAGCATAAATGCAGCATTATGTAAAGGAGTGGTCCATTATACACTCATCATTCTCATACTTTTCCCAGAAACACCCAACTTAAAATTCACCCAGTCCACTGTGATCTGGAATGTTTGCTTTAACACAACTTCCTCCCCGGCCTCTGCCTTCAGCATGGACACACAAATACACACATACACACATATGCATACCAAATACACTATATGCATTCAGCGAGGATGCAAATCACGTGACTATTTTAAGAACACCGACCTTGCTCCATAGTGCTAACGATCACAAGGAGTCTAAAACTTAAAGAATGAATTCCCTCCATTCCTTATGGGACATTTGATCACAGCTGAGGCACCTCCCTTTAAATAGCTGGACATCTGGATGTCATTTGAGATGGGAGCCACAAATGCCCTTTGGCCTTATTTTCTTTTATTGTGGCTAAGGTCATGAGCAGGAACCAATCACTTTGGTTTCTCATATTCTCCTCACATTGCTTATAGTTGCTCCAAGAATAGATTTTTTTGCCTTCTCTGAAGTTGTTATCAAATAGAGAAGCAAATGCATCACATTCTCAGACCCACAAATGGCTGAAGACTAAAGTGCATTTTAAATGGCAAGACTCAGTTTAAGAACTGTTGAACAGGTCCATGCAAAGAAACTTGACAACTGCCACGATGTGAAGTCAAGATCCCTGTTACCTTTGTGGTGAAAAATCAGTTACCAATTCCTTTCTGTGGCTGCTCTTTTGAGAACAGATGTCACACCAAGATGACTGCACTTGCAGTAGTGGGAGAAAAGGAAAGTATGTGAGGAGGCTGATACTTTAACCGAACAACTCACACTATCTTGCCCTAGAGCTGACTGACATGAATTGTACTTTTACTACGGTATATTCTTTCTGTAAAATGTGATAAATCTCTTTTTTTCTGTAAAGTGTGATTAATCTTGGGATGTGAAACCCCAAAAGGGTAAAAGACTATTCACAGGTTTGAGAAGTGGTGGAGATTTTTGCAGAGAGGAATGTCAGACATAATCTGTATATACATCCTTCTGAGCACAGCCTTTGTTACTCACTCTTCTGTTACAGCTCCACCCTGCTCATCAGATTCCTCATTTACAGCCTCAACTCCTTCCAAAAACCAGTGACATTGCCACAAACCAGCGAGATGCAGCCCCTTTAAACCTCTGTGCCTACTCTGGAGGGCAGCACACCTGTCCGGCTCTTCCTGTCCTCATTGATGGGACGTGAGGATCCATTTCTGAAATCACTGAGTCAGAAGCATCCAAAAGAATCAATGAAAGAAGAGTACAACTAGCAAGATGCTAAGGAACAACACACTAAGCACTTAAAAAATACTTGATACCCAAGGGCCAATTCCAGATCAAGTAAATTAGAAATCTCTAGGTGTGGGGTTCAGCTGCTGGTATTTTTTTAAATCTCCCCCAGATGACTATAAAGAATAGACAAGGTTGAGAACTACAAGATTAGCACAATACAGAAATGTAGGGAGAGCTGCCATGTAGGTAACACTATACTGTTTCAAAGTCAATGATGTCTCAGGCAGAAATTATTGAGGTAGAGTCATAGGATACTCCAATTGGCACAAAACCTGGTGCGGTAGTTTTAAAATATGTTGAAGAGAAAAACAAACAACCCCATCAAAAAGTGGGCAAAGGATATGAACAGACACTTCTCAAAAGAAGACATTTATGCAGCCAACAGACATATGAAAAAATGCTCCTCATCACTGGTCATTAGATAAATGCAAATAAAAACCATAATGAGATACCATCTCATGCCAGTTAGAATGGTGATCATTAAAAAGTCAGGAAACAACAGATGCTGGTGAGGATGTGGAGAAATAGGAATGCTTTTACACTGTTGGTGGGAGTGTAAATTAGTTCAACCATTGTAGAAGACAGTGTGGCAATTCCTCAAGGATCTAGAACCAGAAATACCATTTGACCCAGCAATCCCATTACTGGGGTATATACCCAAAGGATTATAAATCATTCTACTATGGAGACACATGAAGAGGTTTATTGCAGCACTGTTCACAATAGCAGAGACTTGGAACCAACCCAAATACCCATCAGTGATAGACTGGATAAAGAAAATGTGGCACTTATACACCTTGGAATACTATGGAGCCATAAAAAAGGATGAGTTCATGTCCTTTGCCAGGACATGGATGAAGCTGGCAATCATCATTCTCAGCAAACTAATACAAGAACAGAAAACCAAACACCACATGTTCTCACTAACGAATGGGAGTTGAACAATGAAAACACATGGACACAGGGAGGGGAACATCACATGCCAGGGCCTGTCATGGGGTAGGGGGCAAGGGGAGGGGTAGGGGTAGCAAGGGGAGGGGTAGCTTTAGGAGAAATAGCTAATGTAGATGACCGGTTGATGGGTGCAGCAAACCACCATGCCATGGCACGTGTATACCTATGTAACAAACCTGCATGTTCTGCACATGTATCCCAGAACTTATTTTTATATATATATATATATATATATATATACACACACACACACACACACACACACACACACATATATATATATATATAGAGAGAGAGAGAGAGAGAGAAATATGGCCCCAAATTCTTTGACACTTCTCCCATTGAGAGTGAGGTATATGTCTTCTCCCCTTGAATGTGGATGGATTTTTGACTGTTTCCTCCCAAAAACTGTAGTGGAATTGATGCTATCAGTTCTTAGGCTACGTCACAAAAGGTGATACTATTTCCACTTTGCTACATGACACATTCATTTTGGATCCCAGGAGCCACCCTGGAAGAAGTCCAACTACCTTGAGCTACCAGGATATCTAGACCAGGCCATATGGAGAGGTCACATGTCGAGACTCTTCTTGATACTCCAGCCTAGTTCCCAGCCAACATCAGTGTCAACTGAATTACCGAGAGATTAACAGGTTATGTATGCATTCTGGGACTTAAAAACATCAATATAAATAAGTGTGTTGGAATAATGTCTCTGAATTTGTCCATCAAACATTTATTTTTCAGTTTTCCTCCAAATCTAAGATAACTCTTATAATCAATGAAATTATAAGTGCCTGAAGTGATGTATCCAACTGAGTTTTTTTTGTAACTTGAATAGAAATTACATTTGTATCAAAATAGAAAAAGTACTTTTACTCTAAAAATGTTAGGAAAAGCCCTGTACCGTGAAACTGTCTAACCTCAAAGAAACGATCATTAGTATTTTGAAATATCAGAGAAATGAATGGACTTTAATAATTTGAATGTTGGTCTAGAAGGCTGAATGGTGGGCCCCAAAAAGGTGTATCCATGTCCTAATCCCCAGAACCCATGAAGGAATGTTACTCTGGAAAGAGGATCTTCCCAGATGCAATTAAATTGAAGATCTCAAGATGAGATCATCCTGGACTATCCAGGTGGGACCTAAATTCATTGACAGGTGTCCTCATAGGAGACACACAGGAGAGACTTAACAGACAAAAGAGAAAGCAACGTAACTATGGAGGTAGAAATTGGAGTGAGGCTGCCACGTGTCAAGGACTGTTAACAGCCACCAGAAACTGGAAGAGGAAAAGGACAAGAGCCCCAGAGGGAGTGTGGCCCTGGGAATACCTTAACTTTCCAGAACTGTGAGAGACTAAATCTCTGTCCTTATAAGCCAGTTGTAATTTGTTACAACAGCCATAGAAAATGAATACTGTTGGGAAAAGTATTTCCTTATCTAAACTTCTGCTTCCACATATGTGCAAAATTTAATAAGTTGCAATTTTTTATTGTTTAAACTTCTCATTAGGTTTCTACCTACAAAAGAGATTTCAGTTCAAAATGTTATTCCTATAAAAAATGTCAGATTTTTATTACTATTTTCTTTTGTTTAATGTTTTGCATACTTTTCTCTTTTCAATGTATGACCTAGCAGTGATTTTTTTTTTTTTAGGCCGTATTTACCAGCAATCTAGAGTACGAAGTGAAGGACTTGATTGAGCATTCTGAATTCTGCTGAGAGTTCATTTAAAATATATGTATTTGAGGCCGGGCACGGTGTCTCACACCTGTAATCCCAGCACTTTGGGAGGCCAAGGCAGGCAGGCAGATCACCTGAGGTTAGGAGTTCGAGACCAACCTGGCCAACACAGCAAAACCCCATCTCTACTAAAAATACAAAAATTAGCTGGGCGTGGTGGCGCACGGCTGTAGTCCCAGCTACTCGGGAGGCTGGGGCAGAGAATCGCTTGAACCCAGGAGGTGGAGGTTTCAGTGAGCCGAGATTGGGCCACTACACTCTAGCCTGGGTGACAGTGCAAGACTCCGTCTCCAAAAATAAAATAAAATAAAAATATTTGGAGGGTAAGTGGTGAAGAATGGAGTCTTGGTATAGAAAGGAAAATGATACCTTTGCTGTAAAGTAGATGGGGGGTAGGGACATGTCTGTACATTTAAGAATGTCTGATGCTTTAAGAAGGCTGTCTCACATTTCAGTTGAGGGATATCTTACAAAATACTTGACCAATACTACTCAAAAATGTCCAGGTATCAAAAATGAGGAAAGTATGAGAAACTGTCATAGCCAAGAGGAGCCTAGAGACATAGGAACTAAAGGTAATGTGGTATCCTGAACAGAAAAAAGGGCCATTAGGAAAAAATTAAGTAAATCTGAATAAAGTAATGACTTGAGCTCAGAAGAATGTACCAATATTAGATCATTAATTTCAAAAAATATTCTATACTAACACAAAATGTTAATAGTGGGTGAAATTGGGTGCTGAATATATGGGAATTCTTGGTACTATCTCAATTTTTCTGTAAATTGAAAACTTCTAAACAATAAAGTCTGTTTTGTAAAAAGTCCATCTCTACCAACATTCATATTTTAAACAAGAAACTGTAGGATGAAAGAAGTGAAACATTTAATACAGATCAGTGGTGTTGAGGAAATTTTCTAGACTGTCTCCCAGAATGCTAGTCCCTATTGCAAAGAACTACTTTTTTATATAAAGCTTTTTCCCTCCTAATTATTTGCAATTTGCCGAAAAGGGAACACCAAAAAACATTTCCGGATTTGCCACACACACAAAACAAACAAACAAAAAAAAGTTAGAAAAACTTCTGGTTTGGCTTCCAGTCTTGTCTCCAGGGCTAACTGGCGTGCCATCTGCTCGCAGCAGAGCGGTAACCATGGTTCATGTGTCACACCAGCGTGCGATGTTAAGAAGTTTGCCCCGGCAAGTCTGGACAACTCCGCTTCCGCACAGGTTGCTGAGGGCGGGCGGGGATGGCGGCAGCAGCATCCAGAGGGTGTAGATCGTTCTTCCAAACCCCATCTGCTTTCCTGTCCTCTGGCTGTGCCCGGGGTCCCCGGGCGCGGCAAGCCGCGGGGACGTGCGCGGGTCTTCTATGCATAACAAAAGAGCCCTCCTCCTCCTCTTCCTTCTCCCGCCGCCCCGCGCCGCCCCGCGCCGCCCCCACCTTGGCTTCCCGCGGCCGCCGGGGCCCGCGTCCCCAGCAGGAATTGGCTCCCGGGCCCGAGGTTTCCAGGTACCCGGAAGGGGGAGGGGGCCGAGGCGGCAACAATTGGGCGGGTGAGGGCAAAACGCGCGGCTCGGAGCGCCAAGACTCCGAGGGGCGGTGAGCCCGGGCCGTGCCGCCGCACGATTGGCCGGGGCCGCCCCGCCGGCCGCCGCTGATTGGTGGATTCTCAAATTCGGTCTCAAGGCGCCAGAGGAGGTGTTTTAGCGGGGACTACGATCCAGGCTGGAGTTGCGCTCGGCCGGTCTGAGCGCTGGCGCTGCCCGGACGCCGCGGGGTCCCCGCCAGCCCAGGGCACTCGGCGCGGGGATCTGCGCGCCTCGCTCTCCCTTCCCGATGCCGCCGCCCGGCTGCTGATCGCCGCACCACCTTCCCTCATCGGCTTGGGTCCGTGGAGGTCCCTGCAGAGGCAGGAAGCCTCCTTAGGAAAGCAGGGGTAAGCGTGCGGCCCCAGCGCCAGTGGGGAGGCGGGAATTGGGATACAGGGCCCACTCCCGCCCCGGCTGCCAGCCTGCCACTCCTCACGTCCCCCGGCTGGCGAGGGCTCGAGGTGTTTCTGCCGGGGAACCCGGTGCGCAGAGGGTGTGCCGGGTGCAGCTCTCACTCCGGCCCGGCAGTAGAGGGGATTTGCCCTTCCCCACAACTTGGAGCTTTCATTGGAGAAGTTTATTTGGGGGATCTGCTTGGAGGCCTGGGAAGGGGCTGCGCTCAGCGCTGAGTGGGTTTGGTCTAGCGATCGGGTTTCCTTCCCCCGATTCAAAACCCCTCAAAGCCGAATTCCTCTCAGTTCTTTGCGCCAAAATTAACTGACCTGGGAGACCCTGTACTTTTCTGACAGATTTGCCCAACACCCTTCCGACTTGGTAACTTTATTTTGCCATCTAGCTTTTCATAAGGAGTTACTATTTTTGTAGATTTTTTTCTTCCCAGATTTTCAGTATTACTAAGCACACTTTAGGTGTTTGAGTTTGTTCGCGTGAGTTTTAGAAAGTTGAGGGTGGCTACAACTCCTGGAAATGCCCAGGATGTGCTTAGAGAAGGGGGAATTTCATATTGACAAACAAGTAACACATATGTAGATATTTTTGTTTGAGGAAAAAATACCTAATTGCAAAATCATTTTCTAGTGTAATTGTGCATTACAGATGGAGGTAAATTGTTTAACACTAAAAGACCTGATCAGCCCCAGGCAGCCCAGACTAGATTTTGCAGTTGAAGATGGGGAAAATGCACAAAAGGTAAGCAAACATAAACACCTTAGTTTCTAATATGTTAAGGATGGTGATGTTGAATTCAATTAAGTGTTCCAACATGCCATTTGTATTTGTATTTAAGCATAATAATTAATATTGATAAACATTATAGAAACATTCTTTTTTAAAAATAGAGCCATCCAAACCATTATTGTTGGAATTCTACTCTCAGATATAGTGGGAAAAATAGGCAAGGTTACATGTAATGTTGTAACCAATTTATATAAGTCAAAAATATGCTGGCTACAGCAATCAAAGTTTATAATACAGTTGTCAAGGGTGGTGTAGCTAGTGCTCTGTAGGAATGCTAAGCCTCAGTTCCCAGGAAAATAGACCTTTGCAGGCATAAATGCTGGATTATTAAAGTGCTGTGAAATGTCTTCATACCAATGAACTAGCTCCCAGAGACTGTTCCATTCACCCAAGAGTAGACCTGTGCCTACTATATAGGGAGATAAAGTGGCTGAACTCATCAGTATATTCTGAATATTTTACCATACTGTTGCTAGTTTTGCACTGAGCCATTCCCTTACATTTTGCACCCCTTGTGATTTGTAAGACCAAGATGTTGTTTTCAAGAACATTACAAAGTAAACTGGCCATAACAATGTCTAAACTATCTGAGCATTTTTAGGCACAGGCAAATAGAAATAACAAACCAAGTTTTAGAAACTTTGAATATAAATCTGTGAGTAGCAACTTGGGCATTGAACTTCTCCGAGCTCCTGGTCTTATTTTTAGGCTTAGCATCAACAGTGAAACTCCTTGGTTGCAAAGCAACCCAGGCTCATATGAGCCTTTGAAGAATACTTGATAATTGCTAATTTAGGATAGATGCGAAATTGTATGCTCCCCCATCTAGGGATTTTTTTTTTGTCCGGCATTTTGATTTATTTTTATTAGGTAAAGAAATACAGTAGTTCCCCTTATCCACAGGGAATGTGTTCCAAGACCTGCAGTGAGTACCTGAAACTGTGGATAATAGTGAACCAGATTGCCATTAGTTGGAACACATTTCTGTTTATTCTGTTTATGTTTTCCACCCCCAAATTTAGTGCCTTTTCCATCTTAACTAAGTACTTATGTACCATGGCTATAACTTTTGCAGTTTGGGGTATGACAGCAAAACTAGCATGAATTTCTCTTTCATTCTTTACAATTTCACAGATAGGAGACTAATTCTTACAGTAGATCTTAGCAACCTTGGCGTACGATTTTCTTTCCTTAAGTCAAGAACGTTCACCTTTTCACTTAAAAGAAGCACTTTATGGCTTCCCTTTGGCATATCCAAATTGCCAGCATCACTACTCTTGTGCTTTGGAGCCATTATGAAGTCAAATAAGAGTTACTCGAACATGAGCACTGCAATACCGTGACAGCCAGCCTGAAAACACAGTGGCTGCTCGAGCAGGTAGTATCTACCGTGCAAATACGCTGGACAAAGGGGTGAGTCACATCCGAAGCAGGACGGAGCAGGATGACGTGAGATTTCATTACACAGAACTGCACACAATCTAAAACTCATGAATTGTTTATTTCTGGAATTTTCCATGTGATATTTTTGGACCGCAGTTGGCCACTGAAAGTGAAACCACAGATAAAGTGAAGATTATTTAAAGTGGCCTTTTTTTTTTTTTTTTAATTATCTAAGTCATGAGGGTGGAAATGCCCAGACTTAAAGTATATATTCAGAGTTTTGGCTTTGAGAGTTTTAGAGCAAAACTTTGTTTTCCTTTCCAATTTGGATGGTTCAGCCTTGAAAAAATACACATCCATACATTTATATAACGTCTAAGTCAGTGCTTTACTTCTCTTCCTCTGGGTCAATGACTTTTATCAAGTACCTTCAACAAAGACCCTTCTCCTCTAGCATCAGCAAGTGCTACTGTGTCCAGTTGAGCTTTCACATTCTAATGTGTGTGGGGAAAAAAAACTCAAGTGACTTAAAGAGATTGGGAAAGCAGTGACAATGTTTGAAATAGCATTTATGAGCAGGGATTATGTCAACTCAAATAGAAGGCAAGAGATGAGAACAGGGTGCTTCCACAGAGTTACTAGGAGGGGCTTCTGTCTGTCTTTTTCATGCTGCTATGAAGTAAAGGAAGGATGCTTTCTAGGGATAATGAAAACATGGGGTTTAAGAGCCAAGAGGTCCTGGGTTTGATTTCCTACTTTGCCATTTATTAGCTATGTGACCTAAAACAAATATACTTAGAAAGTCTTTCAACAAATATTTTTGTTCCAGATGCTGGGGATACGGTGATTTAATGAGTTTCCTAATCTCCCTAAATCCATTTTTTTCTTCCATAAATTGGAATCAATATATAATACTCCCCACATTGAGTTTTTGTAAAGCACCCATAGGCACATAGTCTTCACACTGTTTTGAATCAGACTGATAGCCTAAAGATGAACATGTTGTCCACCCTGCCCTCAGTTACCAGGGAGACTTTCAGGGGCCCAGATGTAAAACTATACTGTGATTTGGTGAGTGCTATACTAGGAGTAGGAACAAATTACCTGGGCAGAAAGAAGAGGAGGAAATAAATTCATGGGAAGTTCAGAGGGAGTTAAAAAGCTTCACAGAGGAAGGAACATTTGGGCTAAGCCTTAGTGGATGAGGAAGCTCAACCTACAAGAAAGCAAGAGTGAACGAGATGGACATTTTAGGCAGAAGTAACAGCATGAGGTGTGAGCATTCAAAAAAATGTTCAAGAAATCAAGAGTGGCTGGAAGCTAGTGGTGCTGAGTTGATCCTTCTTGGAATCTCTCCGGGGAATACCTGGAGTGGTGTCTTGCTGGATCAGCGGTCATTTAGAGGATTTCTTTCTTGGCCATTTGCCCGTTGGTCAAGGTCTGTAAGTACTGTATTATGTATGCATCTTCTTACCAGTCATGGAGAAACTTTTCTTTAAAACATAAAGGAGTTTCCAACTTCATTACCCGAAGTTACTATGCCTCTTACCTGTTTACAATGCACTTGACACAACAAAAGTGGAAAACAGTCTGGGCCAAAGAGGCTAGGAGAGCTTTGTGAAGGAGCTAGCACTTGAGCTGTGGCTGGAAGGAAGGAATACTGAGTCTCAGGCAAGTAGAGAGGAGGGGAGTTAGTGAAGAAGTAGAAATGAGCATGGCATATTTGGGGACAATGCCCAAACTTAATGGGCATGGGTGTTCTTTGAATGTCATTCATGTCTCTTGGGAGTGGGTGAGAATGAAGGTGAGTTCAGTTTGGAATATGTTTGTACCTGTGTGGTTTATAGGTAAATAAATATGTGCAGAAAGCAGCAGGTAGCCTGATTTTGGAATTCATGAAAGGTCGTAATCAGGTCCGAACAGGAATTGTCAGCATACAGGTTGATTTTAAAGCTTTATACGTGGGAGTGGCAAATAATGAGAGAGCGGCAGAGGGTTGTGTGTGCACTCTTGCGGTTTGGTTTGTAAGAGTGAAAATAGAAGGAGGCTGAGAAGGCACAATCAGAAGTATGAGAAGAACCAGGAGAGAAAGAAACAGTGGTATCTCACAAGTTAAGGGCTGAGAGTTCTATAGAACAAAGAATAGTCAACAGTCTTAACTGCTGCAGTGAGGTCAAGTAAGATATTTTGCCATTGACTTGATCTGGCAACTGAGAGGTGACCTAAGTAAGAGCAGTGGATCAGAACAGACTGGTAGTTTGAGGGACCCCTAGGAGGTAGGCAGGGGAAACCCTCAGTGTGGATTGCTTCTAGAAAGTGTGCTCTGGAAAGAAGGAGAGTTGTTGGTCCATAGCTAGAAGGAGACACTTTCTAACATGTAGTCATTGCAATGAGACTTAAATAGTAGACAGAATTTCAACAGGCAAAGCCAGTGGCATTAAAGAGGAAGTGGTGGTGTGAGCACCAGCTTAGCTGTGACAAAGTGCAGGGCAGGTTTGAGTAGCAGGGGGACTGTTTGGGCAGAATGTGGGATGTGCATGAGAGGGAACTGAAAAAGAAGTTGGCTAAATATGGCCCAGAGCTAATATATACACTTGACTGTGTATATTGTTTGAGATAACATGATCAAAGCTGTATCGGACACAGGAGCAGGACTAGAACCAAGACAACGAAGACCTTTCTTTGGCAGCATGAACTAGTTTACCTATAGTCAGTGTGCTGGTGTTATTAGTAATAATAATGAACATTTGTATAGCACTTCACAGATGACAGAGTGCTTTTACCTTCTGAGCTCATTATCACAGCAACTCTATGGTAGGTAAGCCAAGGTATATTACCTCTATTTATATATAAGAACTAGAGGGCCGTTTCACAGGACACTCTAATGGAGGGAGTGATTTCCAGGGTGTTGCAGGTTAGATTTCCTGAAGCAGATCTTACCCAGAGGTTAAGTGTGCAGGAGGTTTTTAGGAAGTACTCTTGGGATCAATGCCTAGGGAAGGGACAGGAAGGCATGGAATTGGACAGAAGGAAAAGTGGAGCTGCAATACAGTCACAGTGGAAATGACCCTCTGGGGAGTTCTAGGGCAGCCATCAGAGGAGTCCAGAGTTGGGGCAAGGAGGCCTGGCTTTTTTTTTTTTTTTTTTTTTTGAGACAGAATCTCGCTGTCACCCAGGCTGGAGTGCAATGGCATGATCTCAGCTCACTGCAAGCTCTGCCTCCTGGGTTCACGCTATTCTCCTGCCTCAGCCTCCAGAGTAGCTGGGACTACAGGCGCCCGCCACCACGCCCAGCTAATTTTTGTTTTTGTATTTTCAGTAGAGACAAAGTTTCACCGTGTTAGCCAGGATGGTCTCGATCTCCTGACCTCGTGATCCGCCTGCCTTGGCCTCCCAGAGTCCTGGCTTTTATATGTCTGTGCTACTTCTACCAGCCAATGAGTACAGGAGAGGCTTCCCAGGAAGTGGTGTGATCTTGGACAAGTCAGCTGTCTTCAGCCAAAGCAGTCCAGTTATGGGATGACTGTTGGCATTACTTCTAGCAGCTGGGGAATGAGTCATGTCTGAAGAGATCAGGGTACATCCCAGCATCCACTCCACAGCTAAGCAGCCTTGCTAGAAAACCTTGGAGATAGATACTTTCATCTAAATTCCTCATTTTATACCTACGGAAATCTGGGCCCAGACAGAATGAACAGTTATCCAGGATCAAAAAGATACAAACAGCTGGGACACAAATCAGGTTTCCATTGCAGTGCCCTTTCCACAGCCGTATATGCTGTCAGCATAGCAGGACAGACAGATGGAGCAAGGTGTGACTAGATTGCAGTTGACTTTCTGTCCACCTGACACCTTAGAAAACAATTGGGTTGGCATTTTTTTTTCTTGATGTAGAGGTGTAATACAATCATAACCTACCACATGACCTAGCTCCCCTCCTACTTTAAGTATTCAGTAAACTACAGTGAAAATATATCAAAATATATGAAGAAATAATCCATTCTCAGTTGCTCCCTCGCTAAAGTAACTCTTTTGGAAGCAATGGAGAAGGCATGTAAATCTCTGTCCACCCAGCATGCCTGGACCACACCCTCCACCATGAGGATACCTTTTGGAATAACTCATCAAAGCACAGTGTTCTTTGAGTATCTGCAGTGGGCAACGCATTGTGCCAAAAATTGCGATGAACAAGACATGTGGAACTTGCTTCTTGACCTTTTCAAGGGCACAGTCTTGTTACTGAGACAAGACACACATCCTGGAAGTTAAATAGCAATATGATGTGCTGTAGTATATTTAGCTCGAAATGCCAGAGTGAATGGTAATAAAGAATAGAAAAGAGGGAAAAGATAATAGCTAAGTTTTATCGAGCGCTCACTATATGCCAGGAACTAATCTCATAACCCTTGAGATTGGTATTTTTATGAACTTCATTTTCGGTTGAGAGAAATAAAGTATAGTGAGGTACAGGAACTTGCCACACTCACCCCTGCTGATAAGCAGCAGGGGTAGGTTAACTGGCCCTACATCCTGTGTATATAACTATTTCCCCATGCTGCCTCTCGCTAGGTACTAGTGGGGATCAGTGGCCTGCTGGGTACCTTTGGTTGGAGCTGTGGAAAAGATAACTTCCTCCCAGTTTGTGCCCAGGACACAGGCTCATTTTTAAGTGTAGAATTTCAGAAAGTTCTGCCTTCAGCTGTTTCTTGCATACCGATGATTTTACACTGAATGAGGTCATAGGTGACCTCAGCCAAGTTATTTGACTTCTCTGTGCCTCAGTTTCTTCATCTATACAACGGAAAAATATTAGTGCCTATGTCACAGGATTGGATGAGGAGTCAATACATGCAAAATACATGAAACAGAGCGTGGCACATAGTAATCAGTAATTTCCCTTGAGAGTTCACCTGTAGAAGCCTTTATCAGAATAGCACACTAACAGGGACTTGTTAAAAGAGGTGGGTAGATGCAGCATTCTGGGCCGAGTACTTACTGTAGTATGAGAAATCGCCACTTCCACTGACTCCTCTCCTTCCTCTTATACTAGGACCGAATGTTGCCATGGCTAGCATGCAGCTTCTGCTGATCCAAGGAGCAAGAGTTGCCTTGCCTACACAAACTCCAGTTTCTCCCAATATTTTACCTCTTCACACGTTGCTCATTTATAGGAAAACACTTACTGTAACCCCCTGCTCAACCAAAACCCAAGCATTCAGTAGCTATACAGAATGTACAGGGAAGGAGTGACTGAGAACTCATCTACCTTTGTAATTATATGACACACTATTGACTGGAAAGGAATACTACAGAAAGAGCAGAATCTTTCTGTTTTTGAATATTGAATTATCGAATTCTCATATTGAATTTTTGAAACTTTTTTAGGGGAAAGATACGTTTTAATTACTTGTTAGTTCCAAAGGTGGATTCTATATACTTAGTCCTTTTTTACAATGGGCCCATCGTTAGTCTTTTCTTAGAATTATTTAAGACAGTCTACATCAACGGGTGGTCTGGAGGCAGATGGTATTCCACAAACTATCACCAGGGTGCAAAAAATTAAGAACGGAACTTGAGAGTTAAGCACTTAAAAACCTCAGTAGTCTAGATGTGGTGGCTCATGCCTGTAATCCTAGCACTTTGAGAGGCCAAGATGGGATGATTACTTGAAGCCAGGAGTTTGAGATGAACCTTGGTAACATAGTGAGACCCCGATCTCTACAAAAAATTAAAAAAGGCCAGGCCTGGTGTCTCATGCCTGTAATTCTAGCACTTTGGGAGGCTGAGGCAGGAGAATCACTTGAAGCCAGAAGTTCAAGACCAGCCTGGGCAACATGGCAAGACCCCGTCTCCACACAAAATTTTAAAAATTAGCTGGGTGCAGTGGTGTGCACACCACTGTAGTATGCACACCACTGGAAATCCCAGCACTTTGGGAGGCTGAGGTGGGAAGATCACTTGAACCCAGGAGTTTGAGGCTGCAGTTAGCTGTGATCATGCCACTGCCCTCCAGCCTGGGTTACAGAGTGAGACCCTATCTCCAAAAAATAAAATATAAGTATTTGGGTGTAGTGGTGCATGTCTGTGGTCCCAGCTACTTGGGAGGCTAAGGCGAGAAGATTGCACGTGCCCAGGAGTTTGAGGCTATAGTGAATTATGATCACACCACTGTACTCAGGCTGGGCAACAGAGTGAGACCCTATCTTTTAAAAAAAAAAAAAAAGTAAGAAAAATAAACCTCAGTAGCAATTCAGTATTGCCACCATATCTAAGCTTATGATTAGTGGTCTCTTCTTGTTGAAGAAGCTGTGGGTCAGTTTGAGTGACAAACTCAAATGGCAAATCACATCTGGTGGGAGTTGTGTTGCACATTAGTCCTGTGAAGTAAGGTCACATATCAGTTTGCAGGAGTTTGGAAATCTAAAAAAACGAGTCCTTTACCATGGGTAGTTTGAGATGCACTGCTCTGGAGAATGACGTTAGAGAGCTCTCTAGGTTGGCTTAAAATGTGGGATTTTGTTGGATGCTCTTCCATTAACTGGTCCTGCTACTAAGTGCTGTATTAGCACTGGTGCACATTGAACTACAGAAGCATTGTTGCTCTTCACTAGTCAATGCAAACTTGTAAGTAGTGTTTTAAAAAAGGTGACACTTAGAAACAATATGGACTCAACCCACATTGGCCCTCATAGTCCTCATCTGTTATAAACATGCAACAGTAACAGATACGTTGTGATTTCTTTTACAGAGATACCATGAAAGATAGGTGTAAAAGGAGTAGCAGAGTATAATCTACTTCTCATTGGAGCCACTCTTCTATTCCCATGACTACTTTTCGTTAGTCCTATCCTGATACTTTTCAGCCCTAAACATATGGTCCTATTTGTATTTTCAAGTCTTAGTGAATGGTGGGAACAAAGTATACTCTTAGCTGATACCTGCCCTTTCTCATTCTTGCTAAAAGTTTCTTTTTTAAAATAGGAAAATATATTTGTTGATCGATCAAGGATGGCCCCGAAGACTCCAATAAAAAATGAACCAATTGATTTATCGAAGCAAAAAAAATTTACTCCAGAAAGAAATCCCATTACTCCAGTTAAGTTTGTTGACAGACAGCAAGCGGAACCATGGACACCCACAGCTAACCTGAAGATGCTCATTAGTGCTGCCAGCCCAGATATAAGGGACCGGGAGAAGAAAAAGGGACTATTCCGACCCATTGAAAACAAGGACGATGCATTTACAGATTCTCTACAGGTAAACAGACTGTGCTCCTCAGGGATTTTTTAGAACTTAAACAATTTTACTTGATTATTAAAAAATCATAGAACTGTCAACTTTTCAGCTCCTATTGAGCCAAAAGCAGTGGCAAACTGAATATCTTTTGATTTGTAGTAGAATTCTCATTCTATCTTATTTTTCATAATGAATGCTTTCTTTTCTGTATGATACTCCCTGGACCAGGGCTCATTTAAAAATGATAAATTATTTTAAAGTAATGATATTTAATCATTTTTATTTAATGAAGGAATTTGGATTCTTTAAATGCTGCTGTGAATTTTAATTTTGCCCAGATTTTAGGGATAATGTTAATGTAAATATTTTTGATTTAGGAAATTCCATTATTCTTATATATGTTCAGTTGGTTAGTTTGGGGCTTTATTGAAGTTAAGCCATCTTTAAATTACCTGTTCTGTGGGGAACCAGTGCTGTTGAATAAGCAGCATGTCTATACTTCGTTAAAAAAAAAAAAAAAGGTAATTATTTTCACTTCCCATCAAGCTTTTTCTCAGACTTCCTAAGAAAAGTTTTGCAGATTTCAGTATTCTTAACCATTTTTCTCTTTTTGGCGGATTTTTCAAGCTATAAAAATTGCCAAAATGAAGAAATTGGGAAGAGAGAAAAAAGATGTCTCGAATTACAACTTGAAATTCATAGAACAGAATGAATTTAATCTGTTATATATCTTGCAGTGGTAGAGTAGCGGTAGTAGTAAGAGATTCTTTCATGTAACTAAATACAAATCACACAGTAGTTCCTATGTGCTTGAAGCCAGAGGAATTTCACAATTCCTTTTTTTAAGTCTGGGCTGTTCTTTGGCTTCCTTTCCGTCTTATGTTTGATGTGGATCACACAAGGAGCTGGTCTAAGGCCTTAGGTTCAAATCACTAGCTGGGTGAGTTGGGGATATCACTCAGGATCTCTGCATCTCAATTTACTCACCTGTAAAATGAGGGTCGTGGTACCTGTCCTGGTTTTATTGGGGTTCTAAAAACTAAATAAGATTAAATGTGCCTTTTGTTGTCAAAGGCATGTAAGTATTAGATTTTTTGTAATTTTTTTGACAAAAATATAGCAAAGTGAAAATCAGCCAATGGGAATCGTTAGTGACCTCTTTCGCAAGGTAACATTGTTGATCTCTTACTTTGGCAGAACTAGTTGTTTAACACGCCCCTAAAACAATTAAAATTTTGGTTTTCTACCCAGGCTTTATAGAGAGATTTTAGCGATCAGTCACTAGAAAGGTTCACCACCTGTAGGAAGTAAATGCCTAAAATTTCGGTGGATTTAAAACAGACTTTCTTTTAAAATCTAGGGCTTTAATATCTTTCAGCAGTGTTTCACAATTTTTGGTATACAGGTGTTATACATCTTTTGTCAGATTTATCTCTAGGTTTCCAAATTTTTTGATGCTATTGCAAATTGTATTTTTTTTTTAGTTTCAATTTCCCATAGTTTGTTTCTAGTATATACAAATACAATTGATTTTTTTGTGTGTGTGTATTGATCTTGTATCCAGAAAACTTACTATACTGATGCTTTTAATGTCTGATTTATTAGATCAAAGTCAAGTGTTTTAAGTAGTTTTTTTTTTTCTTTCTAACTTTTAAGTTCAGTGGGTACATGTGCAGGTTTGTTACATGGGTAAGTTGCATTTTGCGAGTGTTTGGTGTACAGATAATTTGGTCACCCAGGTAATCAGCATAATACCCAATAGGTAGTTTTTCAATTCTCACCCTCCTCTCACCCTCTACCCTCAAGTAGGCCCTGGTGTCTATTGTTCCCTTCTTACTGTCTTGGGGTACTCAGTGTTAAAACAGACTTTTTTATACCTTTTTAAAACTAGTCTTTATTACCTTTTGATAGACTATTTGATCATGTAAAATACACTTATCCTTTGCAGTACCTTTAACACCATGAATCTACCTCTCAGCCCAAAAATGGATGCGATGTAATTAATTTACATTTCTCTCCCCAACAGAATAACCATTCTTCTGAATTTGTATTTATAGTCTTAGAGGACTTGCTTTTGTCAATCAACATACATCCTTTAGGTTCATTTGTGTTTTCGCATGTAGCTGTAGTTCTTTCATGGCTGTATGATATTCCATTGCATGACTACACCACAATTTATTCATTCTCCTGTTTATAGCCATTTGGGTTGTTTGCAGTTTAGGGCTAATACAGACTATGCTATGATATTCGTTCTTGTTTATGTCTGCTGGTGTACATATACAAGTTTGCCTTGGGCAGTGGTTCTCAAAAGGTCATCTGGGGACCTCAGTGTCCACAGACAGTCTTTCAGAGAGTCAGGAGGTCAAAACTGTTTTTCATAATTATACAAAGACCTTTGCCATTTGAACTCCCATTCTCTCCCAAGTGTACACTGGAGTCTTCCAGGAAGTACACAATGTGGATATTGCAACAGACTGACTACAAAAGGCAAGCACAAGAATCAGTTCTCTTCTATTAATCCAGAAACTAAAGAGATTTGAAAAATAATATATAAAATGCCCCTTTCTCACAAAACATTTTAACTGCCTCAATTTTAATTTCTAACATGCTAACTATCAATAGATAACCCACATAAACAAAAAGCCCTGTGGAGTCCTCAGTAGTTTTTAAGAACATAAAGGGGTCCTTGGAGCAAAAAGTTTGAGAACTACTGTTTTGGGTACATACCTACTAGTATAGGTGCTACGTCATTAGATATACAGATGTTCACAAGATAATGCCAAATTGCTTTCCAAAGTACTATTTGCCTCCCCCCAGAAATATATAAACTTTTAGTCACCCATATCCTCTCTGACACTTGAAATTGTCAAATTTAGTAATTTCTGCTAATCTCATGTCTATACAGTATGTATCTTTTTGTGATATACATTTGCTTTTCTTTGATTACTCATGAGATTAAGCTTCTTTCCACATGTTTACTGGCCACCATGTTTTTTGCTCCTCTGTGAAATGCCTGTTTGTGTTCTTTGCCAATTTTAATTGGTTTTTTTTTGTCATGTTGATTTGTAGGGGTTGATTATATAATGATACTAAACCTTTATTATATATGTTATGTATCTATTCTTTCAGTTCGGTAATTGTCTTTTCCCTTTATGTTATTTCTTGATGGACAAAAGTTCTTAAGTTTAATATAGTTCATTTTTTCCTTTTAAGGGTAATGTTTTTTGTGTCTGAAGAAGCTCTTCCCTATTCCAAGGTTAGAAAAATATTCTCCTTCATTTTCTTCATTTAAAATTTGCTTTACATGAAATCCTTGATCCATTTGGAATTGCTTTTTGTGTATGGTATGAGTCAAGATACAACTTTGCTTTTCTATACATATCATCAGTTGTCCCTGCACCATTTATTCAGGAGGTCTTTCTCTTCCCCCTAGCTGGCAGTGCAACTGCTTTCATATTAAAATTCCATTTACATGTGTGTCTGTTTCTGAACTCCTCCTGTTCCATTGTCCATCCCTGCCCTAATACCCTATTGTAATAAGCACTGATATCAGGTAAAATGGGACCCTCAACTTATTTTTCTTCAGTGTGTGGGCTACTCTGGGCTGTTTGTTCTTCCATGTGTATTTTAGATTGGATTTTATTGAGATTGCATTTAATCTAGAGATTAAAAATTAACCTCTTTAAGATACTGAGTTTTCTTATCTATGAAGACAATATATTTCACTAAATTTTAAGTATTCTTTAAAATCTAAGTTTTAGGATTTTATGCAAATAGATTTTTGCTAGATTTATTTCTAAAATCCTTATCATTTTTGTTGCTTTCGTAAATGATGTCTTTTCAATTTATTTGCTGTTACTGTTGTACAGGAATGCAGCAGACTTTAAAAAACATATTATCTTGTATTCAACTACCTTGCTAAATTCTAAAACTATTTTTAATGATTTGTCTGAAATTCTTTTGAGTTTTTTTGTATGAATAGTGACATCTTCTGCAGAAGGAAAGTAGCTGATTACTTTCCAGTCCCTGTGCCTCAGTTTCTTTTTCGTGTCCTCATGCATTGACTAGAGTCTTCAATATGAGATAGAAGAGAAAGTGATAATGGGCATCCATATTGTTTCCTGACTTTAAGGGAACACGTCCAAGGTTTTACAAATAGATGTTTGCTGTTGTGTTTTCATGAATACCTTTCATTGAAGAAGTTCTCTGTTATTCCTAGGTTTTTTTAATTGTATTTTTATTATACTTTAAGTTCTAGGGTACATGTGCACAGTGTGCAGGTTTGTTACATATGTATACATGTCCCATGTTGGTGTGCTGCACCCATTAACTCATCATTTACATTAGGTATATCTCCTAATGCTATCCCTCCCCCCTGCCCCCACCCCACGACAGGCCCCGGTATGTTATTCCTAGTTTTTTAAAGGTGTTTTTGAAAATCATGAATGACTGTTAAATTTATCAAATGCTTTTTCTGAATCTGTAGAAATAATTATATCACTTTTCTTTTGAATCTGTTTGTTGAAAAGCCTTTTACTTTCTTGGGGCTTGAATGGAGCCCCTTTCAAATGTGGGTTGAGGAGACAGGATGCTAGTTTAATGTATTTACAAATAAAAGGATAAGGAAGAATATGATTGGACTGCCTTCATTCACTTTCATCAACCTTTGGTCGATTGTAAAATATAAAACAGTTTGGTGACAGAATGCAGGCCAGTGCGTCTGAAACTTCCACGTCATTAGAAATCACCTAGAATCTTATGAAAAGGCAGATTCTGATACAGCTGATGCCTGAGCTTCTACATCTCACAAGCTCTTGGTGATGCTGATTCCACAGGCCTAGCGAGCGCACTAGTAGCTAGACTGTAGCAACCTGTAAATGACTCTCATTTTTCATTTGTCAAACTTTTGACTAATAGACTCAGCCTCAAATTATAAAGGAGAAAAAAATCAGTCCAGAGAAGACAATAGATAAAACATTCAGGGAATTAGATTAGGAAATGTATTTTAACTAGAATCTAGGATGGTATGGATTGAGATGTCCCCCCAGTTTGCCAACACTGGCCATTGCCATTTCTCCATTAGGATGTTAACTGTGACATCTTCCCCCTCCCTTCTATCTGCCCTCTGTAGCTTGATGTTGTTGGGGACAGTGCTGTGGACGAATTTGAAAAGCAAAGGCCAAGCAGAAAACAGAAAAGTTTAGGACTCCTGTGCCAGAAGTTTCTAGCTCGCTATCCAAGTTATCCCTTGTCAACTGAGAAAACTACCATCTCCCTAGATGAAGTTGCTGTCAGTCTTGGTATGTATCATCAGATTACCTGGAGGTCTGTCTCCAGTTACAGTGGGAAACTGGTTTCCTTGGGCAGGCTGAAGGCTTGAAGTAGAGTGGGCCCCTCAATCGGGTGAAGACAGAGGAACAGGCAGAGCTTCCTTTGTCATCGTCAAATTTGTTTTCATTATACATGGAATTTCAGGGAGCCTTTTAGACCTGAGGACCAAATGAAAATGCAGTCTTTTTTAACCTTAAAAAATATTTCTATAATAAGTAATATTTTTATAATAGAGTTACATTACAAATTAGTATCTCATATTTTAAATTCATCTTACTTCAGACAGACGCAAAACTATTTAGAAATAGCCTGCTTTTTATTTTTAATAATGCTTCCAGGAGTTCAGAACTAGTGTTATTTCAACTTTGTAAAGCAAGATTTGAGAGGAAGAGCATTATGTTTAAAGCCCTATACAATGATTGGCACAGCAAGTGGGTCAAATTAGAAAAAGGTCATTTGGACATAACTCAAACAACTAAACCTTATAACAAAGAAGAATCCGTGTGTGCACGTGCATGAGTGTATGATGTGAGATGGGTGTGTGTGCTGGAAATATGTATACACCTGCTTCAGAATAGAGACCCCTAGTGGACATTGCAGTTAGTTCCAGAGTGAACATATTGTTGACACTCGTTAAATAAGCAGAAATCACAATGACATGAAGGTGTCAGGGTGTCCCCTTAAAAATAGGAAGGTTTTACATACACACAAAAAAGAAAAAGTTCTGAACAAATCAGCTAAATAAATAAATGATAGATTATAATTTTTAGTTTGTTTCTTAGTTCTATTTCTTCCATATCCTAGAGAAATGTGCCCAAGTAGAGGAAAGTCTACTTGAATTATTCAAGCTGAAAGCTAAACAGATTTTGGTTGTTGGAAACTGAGAAGAAGAGACAGTGGGTTATGATAAGAAGACCATGGGCTGGGCTTTGGGTCACATAGGGCTGGATTTGAAGCCCAGCTCTCTAATTTACAGGCTGTAAGAGCTTTAAAAAGTGAAGTAACCTTCTTTTGGTCTATAACTTGGAAACTGCAGCACCTACCTTGCAGAGATATAGCAAAGTTAGGGATAATGTCAGTAACATGCCAAAGTCAATGGCTGGCATGGAGAGCTCTTATTATGTGGAACAGTTTCTAGTCAGCTCTTACTAGAATGTTGATACCCTAGCTGTCCTGTCCATCTCTATAGGAAGAGGAAGTAGAATGCTATGGTTTGGGGGCCGATTTGGAGCCCAGAAGTATAATATAGTATTCTAGGATTGGGGGCAATTAATCAAGAAAGGGAAAGTGAGCCAACTGAACATCAAAAAATTGGGTCCCCTTGCTGGCCCTGGGTGTATCAGTTGCATTCACATGGCATTTCTAATGGGAGGGTATATGGAATGTTATACTCCCTCAACAAGATGTGTTAATATATGAAAACAGACTAGAATAAAGAAGCAGGCAGTTTTAGGCAAGGGACTGCTGACTGCTCCTGCCAGCATCTTCCAGTAGGCATGGTGAAAATCCAGTTGAGGGCTTTTGGGTCCAGGGTCCTAGAAAGTAGTCTTACAGTAATGAAGGTAAAATGAAAGATCATCTGATATCCTTTTCATTGGGGTTCATGAAGCCTACTTCTTCCATGTACCCAACTTCCATTGAGGAGTGTTACACTGGTGTCACTGCAGAAGACAAAGGATTAGATGTTGGAGGGCCGTGTTACATCCCAGGGAGGACAGAAAAGTGGACTCCTACTTTTGTATGGCTGCAGATCGTTGTGCACATCCCCATGTTATGGCTGCCTGGAGCAGAACTCCAGAGATTTTTCCACAGCTTCCCAATGCCTCCTGATCACCCAGACCTACCAAACAAGCATGCCATCTTTTCATGTGACATCATAAAATGGCGTCCCTTGCTGGAAGCTGTTTCACTGACGACTGTCTTTTGGGGTTGAGTCTGAAGTCTGTGCTACATCCCAGGTTACAGACTGCAGGACTGTATTTAACTAAGGACGTGCAGAGCATTCAAATTGCATTGTTTTCCAGATTCCAGTGCCATGTAGATTTAACACTGGATATCATGGGTAACAGTTTAGAGAACTGGAAGTGACTTAATAGCACAGCCTAGGAAACTGTTTTCTGGGCTGAGAATTCTTAGTAAGTCCCATCAGCAACTAAGGGAAGCATAGCAAAAATTAGTAAATCCTTGACCATATAACTAATGCTGTGATTGGGATTAATAGAATGACCTCAATACAAAAGAAAAAGAAGACTGAATGCAAGGAAAACTGTTCTGACAGAGCAAGCCCCCAGAGTAACCTACGGGTCTTGAGACCTGTGAAGTGGAACTTTTTAGTGCACCAGCCAGTGGATGGGTAAACTCAGTTCAGATGAAAGAGGTAAGGGATTGTGCAGACAGGCAGCTCTCATGTTGGTTTTCACCAAAAGCACCTACTAAACACTCACTGTGCATCCTGAGAATCATACTGAGAATCTCCAGGTGGTCAGAAACTTATTTTGTTTTCCCTTCTTGGGATGTCTAGCCACTAGATGGAGACTTAACAGCTTGTTATCAGATATCAACTAACAAAACAGCCGGGCATATGGCTGGCCCTGGGGTGTCAGTTGCGGTCACATGATATTTCTAATGGGAAGGTTTATAGAATGCTATGCTCTAAACAAGATGTGTTAATACATGAAAACAGACTGGAATAAAGAAGCAGGCAGTTCTGGACAAGGGGCTGCTGCCTGCTCCTGCCAGCACCTTCCGGCAGGCATCTGGCACCGAAGCCTGAGCTTGTGAGGGTAACAAGCCTTTCAGGGTCATGAGCTGAAATATTCTGATTTACTGTGAAATGCCTCTTCATGCATGTGATAGAACTTCCTATCAGCTCTGGAGTTCTCATTGTAATTTGGTATATTTCTCATGTTAAATTTTTGAAGGGCCAACAGCTACATTCAGAGTCTGCCCTGATTATATAACAGCTCCTGGCAAGTGAAATGAAAGAAGGCTTCTTTGTAGCTGGGCTGGTTTTCTGCAAGATGCCTGGAGGCTTTTGCTATGTGCCCAAGGGCCTGTTGGATAACAGAATGAGTCACAGACGTGAGATTTTTAAAATCTGTTTCTACTATGACCTCTTATGCTAGCAGGGATTTTAGGTATAACGAATGTCATGCCAAAAGGAATGACAAAAGTATGTATTTAAAATTAACACCTACTGGGGACTCTACAGTTACAGTTACATTTCATCCTCATTATTATATAAGATAAATACAAAGGCACAAAAAGGTTAAATAACTTCCCAAGATCACTCAGCTAGTAAGGGATATATCAGGGATTCAAATGTAGGCAGTCTGACCCAAGAGCCCCCCACCCTTAACAACTATAAGTATTTTTGCTAGGTTTAATGGACAGTTTATAATCCTAGCTGCCTTGGGAGTGTTGGGAAAGTGAGTAGTGAGCTGCGGAGCTTCGTGATCAGCTTGTACTGGAGTCTCTGTGTTTCACTTTTGGGCTGTTTGCCGGGTTACGGTGAATGAGAACACAGAGAATTGTCTATAGCCATGATGAACAAAAGGAGACTCCCATGTTGTTCCAACCCCAGCTCTGGCTTCTTTCAGCAATATGAGAAGGGTATTCAAGCCCTTGACACCTGCATTTCCAGTTCAAAATAGAAAACATAATATTTGCATCCATTTTCCTTACTGGTCCATTGAGAGCGTTATCAAGGTAATTTTTTTATATCATTGGAACTTCACGAAAGGATAGACAGTATTGTCTAATAGGGAAGTGTCAGTTATTGGACACAGTTGATTTTGTAGTCTGCATAATTAGGAACACAAGTCACAGTCAACCATCCATTTATCACGTGTCCATTAGGCACACTGTTACATGTATTGCTCAGGCCACCAGTTTCAGCTGCTGAAATGTTCGCGTGGTTTGCCTAATGGGTCTAAAGAGCAGTTGCTGTACTGTTTGTCAGACAGATGGAAATGTCACCATCTCTAGATAGATGTTTTATCTTAGATTTTTTTAAGGGTTGGATCTCAAGAAGGAAAAAGAAAAATAATTTATATTGCTTGCATCCTTACAGGTTGAATTCCTTGAGCATCCACGCAGTGGGCATTATATTGGGGATCAGACAAAGTAGTTCACAGATATAGTCCAGGCCCTCAAGGAACTTCTCTTCAAAAATGTTTGTCTGCATGATGTCCATCAGCCTCTGTTTTTCAAACAGGTGTGGAAAGGAGACGCATCTATGACATTGTAAATGTGCTGGAGTCGCTGCATCTGGTCAGCCGGGTGGCTAAGAATCAGTATGGCTGGCATGGACGGCACAGCCTGCCAAAAACCCTGAGGAACCTCCAGAGACTAGGAGAGGAGCAGAAATATGAAGAGCAAATGGCCTACCTCCAACAGAAAGAGCTGGACCTGATAGATTATAAATTTGGAGAACGTAAAAAAGATGGTGATCCAGATTCCCAGGAACAACAGTTACTGGATTTCTCTGAACCCGACTGTCCCTCTTGTGAGTCCATTGTAACTTCATGAGTAATGGCAGAGAAAGAGCAAGTGATGGTCTCTTCTGCAGATTCACTGCTCAGATGGGAAGTGCCAGGTTGACAACCCTGGAGGGAGATGTTCTCTTATTCTCCTCACTGAAGAAAGAGAAGCAGATGGCTCCCCAACTGGACTGCCCACTTGACCTCATTGAAATAAACCTGGCTCATGGCAGTTCACTCGAGTTTGGCCTGTTGGGAGAATAGATCACTAGCATTACTCCCATTTTTAGATTGGCAGCCCCATGCTGGTTCTTTTTGTGCAACTGTAAGATTTACTTTGAAAAAGTTATATTTTCAAAGAATTTTATCTAATTATATACTGGAGTAGACTTAGACTACTTAGAAAAGAACTCCATTCACAGAAAATGTTGATAAGAAAGACAGACAACCTCTGCTTTCATTTGGTGCAGAATTTTTATTTACATCGGCATCGTTCTTCCCGATTCATATTTAGCCTCTTCTTGTTTTAGCCATTGATCTTCATCCCTGTTGCTAAGATGACAAAGTACAAGTATCACGTCTCACTTGCAAATATAAGAAATGGAAAGAAAGGTGGGCCTGGTTTTCATTAGAGTTACTGCCTCCTGCCTTTTAGTTCCACCCCATGAGCCAGTACTTATCTTAATAACCAGAGAAGACAGCCATCTGTTGGGGATGGTTTGCCTGCCATCCACAGGAGCACATATCTAATCTGTCTCCTGTTTATATATAGTTCATTTATTCACATATTTCTGAAAAGAAGTGGAAGAGGCGGGCATCTTCTATGTTTAGGGTATAGTCTAGATATTGCGGACACAGAGAAATAAAAATGGAGTTTTTGCCTTTGAGAGGAGAGTTGAGGCTCTGAAAACAATTCTGTATTCCCACCCTATCTTTTTATCCTTCTACATTAATCTTTCCAAGAAGTTGCTTCAGGAAAACTACCGTATGGATTCTATTATAGGAAGTATAAGTGTAAAGCATTGAGTGGTTTAAAATATGCATCTCAGAGTTTATGCCTACTGTAGAGTAATTTTACAAGCCACAAGAAAATCTGCCTCATTTCTTCCTGAGCTGACTTCTGTGATGTGTATCCAGTAAGCTTCTGCCAATGACAAGGGTGATCTTTCCATCTGCTGATAGGGCTAGATCATTTTGGCAAGCTGCAAGTATAGTCTTTCTTGTAGAAAATCATATACTTTGATGCTTTTGTTTCATTCCTTGTGTAGCATCTGCAAACAGTAGAAAAGACAAGTCTCTGAGAATTATGAGCCAGAAGTTTGTCATGCTGTTCCTCGTCTCCAAAACCAAGATTGTCACTCTGGATGTGGCTGCCAAAATACTGATAGAAGAAAGCCAAGATGCCCCAGACCATAGTAAATTTAAAAGTAAGAATCTTCACCTCCATCAACTTACTAGCACATAAAGGGTGGGATTTCATGTGTTGATATTTTCTGCTTCCAAGATTAAAAATATATATATTGTTTTTGACATACATACTCCTTTCCTGCATTCATCAAGGTTTTTGGTGCTGTGAGAGGTAAGTTAGTCACCTACTAGAATTCAGCTTAGAGTCCTGTCAGTGCCTTTTCCTCGGTGGTTTCAGTAGAGTGAAAAACAGAACACTATCCTGAGAACTCCGGTCAGGGAGGGTGTGAATTATTTTGCATTTCTCTTTAGTATTGCTGCATCCAAGACAGAATGTCTGAGTTTTCTTTCCCCTTTTTTCCCCACCCCCTGCATACTCTTCTGAAGGGTGGAGATGAAAATTGTCTACAGGTAAGAACCAGAAGAATGGCCAGGGTAAGGGTGGTGGGACATGGACAGGGAGAGAGTTTCCAAGTATCACACCCAGTGCATCCTCCTTTTCTGTCCATCTTGGATACTGAGCCAAATGCCCTGGGCTGCTGGTAGCCTGTAAGCCCTGGGAAACCATGAGCTGCAACATCTGGCTATTTTTTGTTTCCAGCTGAAATTACAGTCACCCTATGGGTGAAATAGCTAGATAAAATCAGGATTGGGAAGAAGAAAGCTGCATCCAGGGTGAATGCTTCCTATTTCTGGATGATAATTCAAACTCCTTTGCTTGATCTTAACACTGAGGTCAAGTGGGTTTCCTACCTGTAAATCAATTTCTTGAATAGAAAATACTTTGTGGTCATTATCGTGCCTGTCTCATGTGCTACCACCCCTTCTGAGTATTTCCTGTACTTTGTATATATTTAAGTGTTTCTCCCAAAGCCACTTAAGATTCAGGCAAGGCCCATCCAACCCCTTCTCACTGGGTGGCTAGAATGCTACAATTTCAGGTGAGGAGCTGCCTGTCTTTAGTACAGTTGTACTGTTGACCTTGAGCATCCTGTGTGCCCAGGAGTGCAGCCTGGCAGGAAGCTCTGGGGAATCTTTGTCATTTTCACAGACCAGCTGCCTTGTGGAGCTGGCGCCACAGTCTCCTGCTTGGAGAAACTCAGGGCATGCTTTTGACGTGCCATGTCAGAATTACATTTACTAAGCTTTTAATTACAGCCCATTCCCTCCCTTGGTGTTTTTGCAATCACAGTGCTCCCTGTTTGTCGCCAGGTGCCTCTTGTAAGAGGTGTGAAGTTGTGGAAATGGAAGGACACACTGACCTTCCCTTAGCCTTCAGATACTGCAGGTACATAAATCCTGGGTGATTTTATGACAGAGCCACTGGTCTCCTCATCCCAACCTGCTGCTTTCCACCTGAGGTTTATATGGCAGCCGAGAAAAGTTACCTGTCACATAAACTAAACTGTCATGGTGTCACAGGCAGCATGACCGTAATCGTGTTTTATATCTTCAAGCAAAGGTACGACGCCTCTATGACATAGCCAATGTTCTGACCAGCTTGGCTCTGATAAAGAAAGTGCATGTAACAGAAGAGCGAGGTCGTAAACCAGCCTTCAAGTGGATCGGGCCTGTGGACTTCAGCTCAAGTGGTAAGGTGGCGTGGTTTTGCTAGCAGGCTGTTTTATTTAGAATTCTCAGTTCCTTTTCCAAGTCTCACATCTACTACACAGTGAGACTGATCTTTTTCCCATGTCACATACAAAATAGACTAGTGACTCCACTCTTGGAACAGTTAACATTAGCCTACAAATTGTGCATGCTGGTTTGCCCACACATGGTAGGAAAGGAAATACTGAGTGTTTATAATATGGGAGTTTCTGTAACTACTAATTTGCAGCTCTTTGTTCTGAAGCTTTTTCCTGAAAGTTTGGGACCGAGAATTAAAAATGACACCTCTTTTGAACTCCAGTTGTTGCTACATTAGCAGAGTAAAACGTGGTTTCTCTTTGAAATTCTACATAATGTAAAAACTGTAAGTAAAATTATGAGTAAAAATCACATCAGTTACCATCACAAAACAAATTACATCTAAAGATGTGGTTAAGATTGCATCTAAATATAGTATGGATGTAATGGACTTTTTGTATTTAAAAGGTTATAAATATCATAATTTTACAAAACTGGAGTCAAAGAGGATATTAATCTTCTACTTATTTCATGGGTAATATATGAGCAATCAGGGACTAGATCCAACTGCACCAGCTATTTTACATATAGCTGTACTGCCTGGGAAAAAGCCATTAAAGTCATTTTTAAATTACCCTTCCAATTTTGGTGTTAGTGGTGTAAATGTGAGCCACTTAACCCAGGCGTATAAATATATAGCTCTCCACCTCACTTGTAGCACATTATTCACTTAGGATCTAGATGAAACCACTTAAAATCAAGTATAACAAATTCAACCCAGTGCGTATGCACTGAGTGTGGACTGTGTGCCAATGACTATATTAAGGGCCCTGAGAGATTGAAGATGTGGGTAACACAGTCCCTACCTGCATGAAGCATACAACTTTGCCTTTTTCTCCTTTCTGCCTCTGATTTCTCCCGTTCTTTTCACCTGTGAAGCCCTCTTCTTAACATGAAAATATTCTCAACCTTCAAGATCTGGCTCAAATGTCAACTCCTCTATGAAGTTTTCCTGATAGCCCAGAGCAGAGTGTCTCATCTGAACAACTGCAATTGAGTATTGTGCTGTTTGTGCTGGGTGAGGTAGATATGGTGGTGTCGTCCCTGCCCTACACATTTGAGACCAGACATTATCTTTATTTATCCTTGATTACCCCATAGTATCCAGAACAGTGCCTTACTCACTTTAGTTGGTTAATGAGCTTCTATAATTAGGCATATAGTTAGCATACATTTGAAAGTTAGGAGAGCAATTACATGCTAGACGGGGTGGTACTGGCTCTGTAGGCATTCAGAGAGGATACAGATTAAGTTCTGATGGGCTGTTAGATTTTGGAGGCATGAAGAGAACATGGGATAGAAAATAATGAGATACAATGTGATCAGTGGGGACTGCATTTTTGGAAGGCCTCAAAAATTGAGGCAAGAAATTTGGACTAGATGTGATAGACAGAATTAACCAAGAGTCTTCAGACAATGATTAAAAGAGAGGAAGGACTCAAAGGTGGTCGTACCATTGAAGAAAATAAGATAGCTGGGCTGGGCACAGTGGCTCACACCTGTAATCCCAGCACTTTGGGAGGCCACGGCAGGCAGATCACCTGAGGTCAGGAGTTCAAGACCAGCCTGACCAATATGATGAAACCCCATCTCTACTAAAAATAAAAAATTAGCCAGGCATGGTGGCATGCACCTGTAATCCCAGCTACTCAGGAGACTGAGACAGGAGAATCACTTGAACCAGGGAGGCGGAGGTTGCAGTGAGCCGAGATCACGCCATTGCACTCCAGCCTGGGCAACAAGAGTGAAACTCCGTCTCAAAAAAGAAGAAAGTAAGATAGCTGGAAGATGAGCGGCTGTTGAGAAGTCGAGGAGTTCGTGTATTTGCACGGAGGGACAGAACTGGGAGAACTCTGATTTGACATGAGAGAAAGACTTTGGAGGCAAGTCAGGAATATTAAATTGAACGTATTTTCTCTGCCCTCCAGAAACCTGATCTTTCTGTATTCCCTAGTTTCATTACTGATAACATCAAGTTTCCTTTGATTCCTTGAGCCACTCTCCTTCACCCCTTGGCTAGCAATTCCTCACAAATTTCATAAATGTCTTTCTCCTCTTCTTTCCTACCAGCAGGGTACAGTGTATTACGAATAGTGTTTTCTTTTTAACAGCTTTATCAAGGCATCATTGATATGCAATAAATGGCAGGAAGTTAAAGTTACAATTCGATAAGTTTTTCATAGGTATGTACCTGTGAAATCATCAAGAAAATGAACATATCCATTACCTTCAAAAGCCTCCTCCTGCCCCCTTTGTAATTCCTCCCTCCTGGTCCCCACTCCCATCCCCAGACAACCACTGACCTGCTTTCTGTCATTCTGGGTTTGTTTGTATTTTCTATAATTTTTTGGTAAGTGAATCATGTATGGTTGATCTTCGTTATTCACAGATTTCATATTTGCAAATCTGTCTACTTACTAAAATGTACTTTTAACTCCAAAGTCGGTACTCAGGGTGTTTCCACAGTCAGTTGTGGTCATGCACAGCTTGGTGGAGAATTTGGGTCTCCCAATGCACTTGTTCCCAGATGAATCAGGCGGTACTCTGCCTTCTTGTTCCAGCTCTCATACCATAAGCCAGCATTCTGTTTGCAGTCTTTTTAGTGCCACTTTTTCACATTTTTGTGCTTTTTGGCTCCCAAATATTGCTGTCTAGTGTTTCTTAGCACAAGAAAGCTGCATTGTGCCTTATGGAGAATATACATGTGTTATATAAGCGTTGATCAGGCATGAGTTACAGTACTGTTGGCCAAGTTCAATGTTAATAAATCAACAACAAATATTAAACAAGGTTTCTTTAAAAAGAAACACACATAAACAAGGTCATATATTGATCAGCTTATGAAAATATTGTAACCAGAGGCTCACAGGAACCTAACCCTTTATGTCCCCTAGAAGCAATGGGTCAGTATTTGCTAATTCAGTGTTTGCAGTGACTTTATAGAACATAACTACTGTGAATAATGAGAATCAACTATAACCTGTACTCTTTTGGTCCGGCTCCTTTCACTCAGCATAATTATTTTGAGATTGATACATATTGTAGCATGTTTCAGTAATTTATTTTTATTACTGAAGAGGCTATTATAAATAAAGCTCCTGTGATTATTTATGTACATGTCTTTGTATGGGCATATGTTTTCATTTCTCTTGGGTAAATACCTAGGAATGGAAAGGCTGCATCGTATGGTAGGTGGATGTTTGAAATTTTTGAGAAACTTCCAAACTGTTTTCCAAAGCAGTTATAACATTTTACATTCCTACCAACAGTATATGAGAGTTCTAGTTCAACCATATCTTGCCAAAACTTGATATGGTCAGTCTTTTTAATTTTAGCCATCCTGATAGGTGTGTAGTGGTATCTCATTTTGGTTTTAATTTGCATTTCTCTAGTGATTAATGATGTTAAACATCTGTTTTGCCATCTGTTTATCTTCCTTGGTGAAGTGTGTGCTCAGTTTTTTTGTCCATTTGTTGCTATTGGGTTGTTTGCTTTCTTATTACTGAATTGTGAGAGTTGTATATACATTCTGCATACAAGTCTTTTTATCAGATACATGATTTCCAAATATTTCCTCTCCATCTGTGGCTTTGTCTTTTCATTTTCTTAACAGTGTCTTTTGAAAATCAGAAGATCTTAATCTTCAGGAAGTCCACTAATGTATTAGTTTTTATTAATTTTTTCTTTAGTGGGACATGCTTTCAGTTTTTATCTAAGAAATCTTTGCCTAACACAAGATCACACATGTGGTGTGAGGTATGGATCAATGGGGTGCTTTTCTGAGGGGATGGGAGGTTGCATATGGATATCCAGTTGTACCAGCACCATTTGTTGAAAATATTATCCTTTCTCTAGTAAATTTCTTTTGTGCTTTTATTAAAAACAAATTGACGACATATATGTATGGTAATGTTTCTGGACTTTCCAAACTGCTGCATTGATCTGTTTGTCTATTTGGTGTCATGCTAATACTGGCCTCTTAAAACAAGCTGGGAAGTAGTTACTCCTCTTCAGTTTTCTGGAAGAGTTTGTGTAGAATTGTTACTATTTTTTCCTTAAACGTTTGGAAGAATTTATCAGTGAAGAATTGATAAATAAATAATTTTCCAGTGAAGTCATTTGGGTCTGGTTTTTATCTGTAGTTAAAAACTTTCTATGTGAGAAGGTTTTTAACTACAGATTACAATTTTTTAATAGCTATAGAGCTATTCAGATTATCTCTTTATAGCTCCTTTAACTTTGAGTTAACTTTGAGTTCTTATTCTAGTTTCTCAAGGTGGAAGCTGAAATCATTAATTTGAGACCTTTCTTCTCTTCCAATAAGCATTTAGTGCTATAAATTTTCCTCTCAGTACTGCTTTAGCTGTATCTAACAAATGTCAATATGTGTGTTTTCATTGTCTTCCAATTCAAAATACTTTGTATTTTCCCTTTTGATGTCTTCTTTGGCCCACAAATTATTTAGACATGTAACATATAGTTTCTAAATATTCTGGGATTTTCCACATACCTTTCTCTTAGGGATTTTTAATTTCATTTAATGTAACCAGAGAATATACTTTGTATAACTTGAATCTTTTAAATTTATTGAGACTTGTTTTATGGTACAGATAGAGTCCATCTTGGTAAATATACACAAATATACAGAGTATATATTCTGTTGTTTGGTGGAACGTTCTATAAATGTCCAGTTCTTTTATATTCTTACTGATTTTATGTTTACCTGTTCTAGCAATTATTGATAGATGGATATTGAAATCTTGATTATAGTTGCAGATTTGTCTGTTTCTTGTTGCAGTTCTTTAAAGTTTTGTGGAATGGATTTTGAAGCTCTATCATGAACTCTGTCTGCATAAATATTTAGGATCACTGTCTTCTTGATGAACTGACCCTTTTATCATTATAAAATGACCCTCTTTATTCCTGGAGATAATTCTTTGCTCTGAAATCTACTTTGTCTCATAGTGATATAGTCACTTCAGCTTTCTTTTTATTAGTTAGCATAATATATATTGTTTATCCTTTAAATAATTTCTGTCTCTATTTAATGTGAGTGTCTGGTGGGCAGTATATAGTTGAATTTTTTTAAATCTAATCTGACCATTTATGCTTTTCAGTTGGGTTATTTAATGACCATTTATACTTAATATGATTCTTGATCTACTTGGATTTTAATCTGTCATCTTGCTATTTGTGTTCTGTTTGTCCCATTTGCTTATTGTTTCTTTTTCCTCTTTTTCTTTCTTTTGGATTTATAAGTATTTCTTATGCTTCCATTTTATCTCCTTTGTTGGTTTCTTGGCTATAATTCTTTGTTGTGTTATGTTAATGGTTCCTTTAGGGTTTATAGTATACAGTTTTAATTTGTCCCAGTCTACTTTCAAGTGATAGTATACTACATGTATTGTACAAGAATCTTGCAATAACTTGCTTTCATTTCTCCCTGCCTGGCCTTTGTGCCATTGTTGTCAAACATTTTACTGCTATATATGTTACAAACCCCATAGTGTGTTACTGGGGTTTTTTTGTTTGTTTTTTTGGTAGAGACAGGGTTTCACTATGTTGCCCAGGCTGGTCTCGAATTCCTGAGCTCAAGTGATCCACCCGCCTCAGCCTTCCAAAGTGTTAGGATTAGGGGTGTGAACTACTATGCCTGGCCCACAGTTAATTACCTTTTGAAGAAACTTTAATAAGAAAATTGTCTAACCCTAACCCATGTTGTTACCATTTCCAGTGCTTATCATTTTTTTGTAAATGTAAGTTTCCATCTAATATTTTTTTCTGCCTGATGAACTTTAACATTTCTTTTAGTGCAAGCCTGCCAATGATGAATTCTTCTAGCTGTTGTATGTCTGAGAATGTCTTTATTGTGCCCTTGCTTTTGAAAAACATTTTTGCTGGGTAAAGAATTCTAGGTTGGGCCGGGCGCGGTGGCTCACGCCTGTAATCCCAGCACTTTGGGAGGCCGAGGCGGGTGGATCACGAGGTCAGGAGATTGAGACCATCCTGGCTAACACGGTGAAACCCCATCTCTACTAAAAATACAAAAAATTAGCTGATTAGCCAGGCGTGGTGGCGGGCGCCTGTAGTCCCAGCTACTCAGGAGGCTGAGGCAGGAGAATGGCATGAACCCGGGAGGCGCAGCTTGCAGTGAGCCGAGATCGCGCCACTGCACTCCAGCCTGGGCGACAGAGCGAGACTCTGTCTCAAAAAAAAAAAAAAATGGAGAATTCTAGGTTGACGCCAGGTGGTATCGCCCATGCCTGTAGTCCCAACTACTTGGGAGGAAGGTGGTGGGAGGATTGTTTGAGCCCAGGAGTTCGAGCCCAGCCTAGACAATACAGTAAGACCCCTGTCTCAAATAAATAAAAGAATTTTGCGTTGAAGATTTTTTTCCTTTTGTTCCTTTTTTTAAATTTATTTTATTTTTTTTGGAGACAAAGGTCTTACTCTGTCACCCAAACTGGAGTGCAGTGGCGCGATGGCATGATCATGGCTCACTGCAATCTCAAACTCCTGGGCTCAGGCAATCATCCCACCTCAGCCTCCCAAAGTGCTGGGATTACAGGTGTGAGCCCACACACTCAGCCTTTTATTAAAGAAGTTGCTCCACTGTTTTCTAGCCTGCATAGTTTCTGGCAGGGAATCAACCATCATCCTATTCTTTATATGTAACATGGCATTTTTCCCTGGTTGCTTTTAAGTTTCTCTCTATGATTGGTTTTAAGCGATTTGATGATGTATGACTTGGTGTCCTTTTCTTCATGTTTTGTGTACTTGGTTTTGTTGCGTTTCTTGGATCTTTGGGTTTAAAGTTTTCATCAAATTTGGCAAATTTTCGGCCATTACTTAATCAAGTATTTTTCCTGTCCCCTCCTATTTTTACAGATTCCACTTATGCTTGCTTTTGGTTACCTAAAGTTGTCCCACAGTTTGCTTTGTTCATTTCTGTCTTTTTTCTCGTTTCATTTATTTATTCATTTATTCATATTCTTTATTTCTACAATTTCTAATCTGCCATTAAATGTATACACTGTATTTTTCATCCCCCCACTGTATTTTTTTTAATCTCTAGAAGTTTGATTTGAGCCTTTATATTTTTGATGTCTCTAAGACTTAACATATCCAGTCTTTCCCCTAGTGTCTTGAATTTATGGTATGCAATACTAGTATATGTTTTAGTGTGCTGGTCTACTTCTCTATCATCTGCGTCACTTCTGGGTCCATTTCAATTGATTTTTCTCCTCATTGTGGGTAATATTTTCAGTTGTATACCAGACACTGAGAATTATACATTATTAGGTGATAGACATTTCTGTATTCCTAAAAATGTTCTTGAGCTTTGCTCTGGGATGTGGTGAAGTTACATGGAAACAGTGATGCTTTTGGGTCTTGCTTTTAAGTTTGGCTTAGCAAGACTCTATCAGCTTTTAGTCTTTAGTACGTTTTCCCCATTACTGGGGCAACACCCTTTTTAGTACACTAACAAATGCCTCCTGAATTAGGAGGTTTTTCTACTGTAGCCATTGGCAACAGGCACTTTTCCCAGTCCTATATGAGCTGCATTGTACCCTCTAGTGCTTTTGAATGGTCCTTTCCCTGGCCTTGGGTATCTTTCTCACATGCATCTGTACTCCACTGAAGGTTCAGTTTGGACCTTTGCAAATCCCCAGCATTCTCTTTCTGTATAGCTCCCCTCTCCAGCATTCTGCCCTGCAAACCCTAGCTGCCTTGACTTTCCAGGACTCCCAGCTCTATCCTCAACTTAGGGAGACCTACAGTCTCTGTCTAGGTCCCCCTCCCTTCATCCCAACCTAGAAACATTCTCCAGGCAGTAAGCAAAAATCATTATAGAGCTCACCCTATTTGATTCCTGTCTCACAGAGATCACTGTCCTTCATGTCCTGATGTCCAAATGTGTTGAGAGCCACAGTTTTATGCATTATGTCCAATATTTTGTTTCAAGAAGGAGGCAGATATGGCCCCTATTACTGACTTGACCTATTTTCTTTTTGATTTCGTAATTTCTGATTTTTCTAATTGGGCTTTTGTTGTAAGAAAAAGAAAACTGTGAAGGTGACTTTTTGTTGTTGTTTTTCATTTTTAAGTTGCATTAATGTGAAAGCGCATGTTTTAGAAAATATAAGTCCAGCTGGGCCTTTCAGTTTATTAAATCAATCCTCTAACTAAAATGTGCATGCTTTGAGCTTAGAAAAACATCAGCACAAATGAATATGGTAGAGATGACTGTCTGTACAACAAGGATAGCTGCCTCAGTCTATATAGAAAGTTGTGTCTTAACCCCACATATACTCCGTTAAACACAAACTGTGTCTCCAGGGCCTAACCTTTTATTATCTCACTGTTCTGCAGCATTTCAACCATGAGGTTTCTGCTGACCTTATTCCTTTGGTCACGTAGTAACTGAGCCTCCTACTGCATAAGAAAGAAATAATAAAGCATCACAGAAAATAGAGATTCTCCTATTCATTGCTGTAGGTCTGTGGCATAGGAAGCTGATCTCAATTAATCTTGAAAGTGAATCTCAAAATATGCATGTTGGGCTGAGCATGGTCGGGCTTTCCTTTGATACTCTCTGCTCAAATAGAGCATCTAAAATGTGAGGCTCATTCTAATTCGGGTTGAAGAACATCTTGCTCTACTTCTGTTGCAATTCAGATAATTTTAGAATATATATGGATTCAATCTCATTTTATAGTCATCCACTAACTTAAAAAAAAAAGTACATTGAAAGAAATTGGGGTTTGAGACAAGGCTCATAAAATTCCTTTGATTGTCTTAGTTTTTGATTTATAGGGTGATAGCTCCATTACAATTATAGGTTCAAAGCCATCTCTTAAATAGACGAAAATTATCCTGAATTACAGCTGTATAACAACACTACCAATTCTCTCGTTTATGTAGATGAAGAACTGGTGGATGTTTCTGCATCTGTCTTACCAGAATTGAAAAGAGAAACATATGGCCAGATTCAAGTCTGTGCAAAACAGAAGCTGGCTCGCCATGGTTCTTTTAACACAGTTCAGGCTTCTGAGAGGATCCAGAGGAAAGTGAACTCAGAACCGAGCAGCCCGTACAGAGAAGAACAAGGTATCTGCCCTTGCATAATCTATGGAGTCCATCAGTTGCCATGTAGCTGTAGCCCATGCCAGTGCAGCACCCACGTGCTGGCGTTTTAAAACAAACTGACTCTCAGCCCTGGCTGTTTTTTCCAGTGGTCTACTTTTTACTTAGCTGAAGTGAAACAATTATTGGAAGCAAAGGAGATGCTGATATCACAGTCTATGAACATGACCCCTTGCCTAAAATTGATCCTAGTCACCTTGTAGACCAATTGGTTTGGCATAGTTGACCCTATTTGATGTATCTCAGAAATTCATTAGACTTAAAGCAATGCTTGTTTTAAATACTTCTTTTTTCTTTTTCTTTTTCTTTTGAGAGAAAGGTCACTCTGTCACCCAGGCTGGAGTACAGTGGCATGATCACGGCTCACTGCAGCCTTGACCTCTCAGACTTAAAGAGTCCTCCCACCTCAGCCTCCCAAGTAGCTGGGACCACAGGCGTGCATCACCATGCCTGGCTAATTTTTCGTTTTTTGTAGAGACGGGGTCTCCCTGTGTTGCCCAGGCTTATTTTGAATTCTTAATGAGACCTGAATTCATGAACAGCTAGCTACTGAAAATTTCTCTTTGAATCAAAACCATAACAGATTTGAGTAATCTTTGAGCTGAGAATAATGAATTCTCAGCTAGATAATTCTCAGTATATAGTTGGTATGTATAAGTCTCTTGCTATATTTGTTAAGCCTTCATCTTCCTTTTCAGGATCAGGTGGCTACTCTTTAGAAATTGGAAGCCTGGCAGCTGTCTATAGACAGAAAATAGAAGACAATTCACAGTAAGTAGTCTATAAAAGCTCAGAGTGTATTCTTTTCTATCTCCTAGTGTTAACTTTGACTAAATTGCAGTGCCACCCATCAAAAGAAAAAATTTAGGTCAGCCGTTTATTTGTTAGGAATTGGTAAGTTTTCTCTTTGTGCCCTACACTGTGCAGGAAGTAGCATCAGGGATACAAAAGTATGAAAAATGTATCCTGTAAGCTATGATGGCTTATAGGAACAAGATAAAAAGACCAACACGGAAAAGAGACAATTCATAATTAACATGACCCTGAGAAATGAAGTATCAGAGTTCCATGAATCACTTCATCATTATCATAGTTGGTTTTGCCACTAACTACCAGGTACCGTTCCAGGAGCCTTAGTGTATATTGACTCATCTGATCATAAGAGCAATCCTTTGAGGTTTTACAGAGAGGTATTACCCTCATTTTACAGAGAGGAAGCTGAAGTGCAAAAAGGTTATGTAACTTGCCCAGTCACATTGCTAATAGGTGACAAAGCTGGGATTCATACCCAGGCTGTCTGACTTAAATTTGGGGCCCAATTTTGAAAGAAATCATGTGTCACCAGAGAAAGCAGAAGAAACGCTAAACAGAGTAATTAGAAAAGTGTTTAACAACAGATGTGGGAAGAAGCAGATTACAAGGCAGGGCCAGGGAGCAGAAGATACCAAAGCCTGGCTCGTTTTGCTGTCATGGTTTGTCCAAACAGGACAGGAAAAGGAAAAATCATTCAGCAAAAGAGGTTAGGTGTTGGAGGCAAGTAGGTCAAGTTGGCAAAAAGCTTTGAAAGCCAGAGAAGAGTTGGATTCATCAGGGAAACCATAAAGAGCTATTGGAGGTTCACTGATGAAGATCATCCTGGCTACTTTTTGCAGGTGGGATTAGGAGTAGAGAAAGACAGGCCACAGAACAGAGCATTTGTAGTCGTTCTGGTCTGCTGTAGGGCAGAGCTGAGCTGTGCTCACCAGAGGTGGAAAGAAAGGGAAACCAGTGTGAGACAGTGAGTTGGCAGGGCTCGCTAAAGGAGACAGGCATCAGAAAGAATGTCTGCATGTCAGGTGATAGTGATGTCATTGGTGGAGATGGAGAAGTTGAAGGTGGATGGCTGGGTGGAGGGATGGTGGGTGATATACCCAGGGTGGGCATGTTCAGTTTCACAGAGCTGAGCAATACCCATTACTCAACCAGAGGCAGCTGATTGGAGAGATGACTCATCTCTGCGGCCCAGGGTACTGCATTTTATTCTCAGCAGCGCAGTAGGCAGTGAGATGGTAGGCAAAACAGGTCTTCCATGATTCCATCAGAAAGACGGAAAGAAATCCTGGTCCTCTGTTTACTGTTTTTTTTGTTGTGTGTTTTTATTTTGTTTTGTTTTGTTTTCTGCTTTTTGCTTTTTCTTTTTGGAGACAGAGTCTCACTCTGTTGCGCAGGCTGGGGTGCAGTGGCATGATCTCAGCTCACTGCAACCTCCGCCTCCCGGGTTCAAGCGATTCTTGTGCCTCAGCCTCCAGAGTAGCTGCGATTACAGGCGTGTGCCACCATGCCCAGCTAATTTTTGTATTTTTAGTAGACACGGGGTTTCGCCATGTTAGCCAGGCTGGTCTTGAACTCCTGACTTCAGGTTATCCACCTGTCTTAGCCTCCCAAAGTGCTGGGATTACAGGCGTGAGCCACCACGCCTGGCCCTCTGTTCCTATTTCTTAAAGGATCGTTCTTCTCTATTCCTAAAAATATACTAAGAACATAAACATGGTTTTAAATATTTGGAAATTTTTCCAAACAAAAGGCCCAAACATTGTTTATATCTTATTTATTTCATTTTCTTATTTTAGAGACAGGGTCACCCAGGCTGGAGTGCAGTGGCGTGATCGTAGCTCACTGCAGCCTCAAACTCCTGGGCTCGAGCAATCCTCCTAGGCCCCCCACAGGAGGCATGAGCCACCCTGCTGGCCTATAAACTTGTACATTTATGGGACTTAATTTTGATTGTGTGCTGCCTAAAATTTTGTTAATAACACCGAGCAGAATGGGACAAGAATGACAGAAAATAATAATTTAGAAGATAAGTTTGTTTCCTCACTGTCCACTTCATTTCTTTCATACTGGATTTGTGAAATGAGACAAATGAGATTAATCTTTTTTTAAATCAAAGTCCAGTCTCTGTTACTCTCCCAGCGTCTCTCACAGTCACTGAGAACATGGGTTTTGCCATCAAACAGATGTGGGCATGGGGCCCAGCTTCTCACTTCAGAGCTGGCTCACCCGAGGCAGGGTGATCAACCTCTGCGCTTCAGTCTTCCTCGCTAGTAAACTGGGGAAATGAGAGTAGCTATTATTATAATAATTGCATAAAATTGTTATACTATTAATGCTAATTATAATAGTATGTACATGCCTGGCAAGGGTGTAAGTGCTTGATAATTGATAACTATCAGATGTGGAAGAGATGAAGGAGGAATGAATGTTCACTCTCACCTGAGATTCCAATGGCTCTTCCCACTTCGGCTCTCCCACCCCATCCTAACCATTTATCCAGGCCATACCTGGGCGTCTAACTCTGGGATGAGCTAACACGTGCTCAGCAAGTGCGCTTTCGTATCTGCCTGAGGAGTATTATCTCATTCTTGATTTGGCATGGCTGTCTTTGGGAAAGTAAAGGGTCAGGAGTTGGTAGAATGTGCTAACTTCGTTACGTTTCTTTTTTATTATAGGGGAAAAGCCTTTGCCAGTAAGAGAGTGGTGCCTCCATCAAGCAGCTTGGACCCTGTTGCTCCTTTCCCTGTCCTCTCTGTTGACCCAGAATATTGTGTTAATCCTTTAGCCCACCCAGTATTTTCTGTTGCTCAGACGGACCTGCAGGCATTCTCCATGCAGAACGGTCTGAATGGACAAGTGGATGTCTCACTTGCTTCTGCAGCCTCTGCTGTGGAGAGCCTGAAGCCAGCACTCCTTGCTGGCCAGCCTCTAGTGTATGTGCCCTCTGCCTCACTGTTCATGCTGTATGGAAGTCTGCAGGAGGGACCAGCGTCAGGGTCAGGGTCAGAGAGGGATGACAGAAGCTCAGAAGCCCCAGCCACAGTAGAGCTGTCATCTGCACCCTCAGCTCAGAAGCGCCTCTGTGAGGAGAGGAAACCTCAGGAGGAGGATGAGCCAGCCACTAAAAGGCAAAGTAGGGAATATGAAGACGGCCCGCTGTCGCTTGTCATGCCCAAGGTAAGGGAGTGCAGGTGGATGTGTCTGGTGACATCCTGTTAGCCCTGAGCTTCTTCCTAATGAAGATACACTGATATTAATAAGCAATGGAGTCTGGAATATGGAGCTGTTTCATGTCACTTGCATAATTAAGCACTGGAGTGGCTCTGCCAAAAATCTTGCCTTAAAATAGTGCATAAGAAAGGTGATTTTTATAAAACTCACACTTTCTATAAAATGCTAAAAAGTATAAAGAAGAGTTACCCAGAATCCCACCACATAGAGGCATCACTATTAACATGTTTATATATTTCCATCCAGTCTTTTTTACATCCTTTTTTTAAAACAAATTAGGATCACTGAAATAAACATCTTAATCCAGGATGCAGCTGAGTTCCAGAGGGAGGAATGTGGGTGCTGTCTGGCTATCAGATCTTATGCTTGGTCACTTCTCTTCAGTGTTCAGTGATCCTGTTTCCCTAGCTTCAAAATGAAAAGAACAAAAGTATGAGCTGTCCACATCTCCTGCTTAGTAGCCATTCAGAGGTTAATGAGATATGACCAGTAAATCCAGAAAGCAGGAGCACTGTCATTACAGTGGTCTGCAGTAGGTAGGCTGGGCACACTTCGTGGAAATCATTACAATAATTAAGAACCTTTCTCTATTTTTTTTCTCTTACCAGAGTGAATTTTTCTCATTTTGTAGATAGCCTGGGGTTGCAGATCAGAAGTGAAAGACTGACTGGCATATGTCTTAGGTAACCAAGACATCTTGGGCCAGCCCACAGTTCTTATAAGACCCGAAAAGACTAGTATCAACACCCTTTATGTGTGTTACTAGCTCAGAAATATATTTCACAGTCTAACCACCATGGCCAGTTTTCCATTGCTAAAATCTCTTGTCATTTCTCTACTTCGAAATCACAATACTATCAATGCACAGGACATGACCTTTTCAGACCATTCCTACAAATACAGTGGAAACCTCTGACATACACAAATCAGTGTGGCACGCAGCTATATGCTACCTTTATGTGTTAGCAATATTAAGAAAGCTGTTATTAAGATTTACTAATCCCAGCCGGGCGCGGTGGCTTATGCCTGTAATCCCAGCACTTTGGAGGCCGAGGCGGGCGGATCACCGGGTCAGGAAATCGAGACCATCCTGGCTGAAACAGTGAAACCCTGTCTCTACTAAAAATACACACAAAACAAAATTAGCTGGGTGTGGTGGCGGGCACCTCTAGTCCCAGCTACTCAGGAGGCTGAGGCAGGAGAATGGTGTGAACCCAGGAGGCAGAGCTTGCAGTGAGCCGAGATCGCGCCACTGCACTCCAGCCTGGGTGACAGAGCGAGACTCTGTCTCAAAAAAAAAAAAGATTTACTAATCCCAGTACTTTGGGAGGCTGAGACGGGCGGATCACCTGAGGTCAGGAGTTCGAGACCAGCTTAGCCAACATGGTGAAACCCCATCTCTACTAAAAATACAAAAATTAGCCAGGCATGGGGGATGCCCCTGTAATCCCAGCTACTCGGGAGGCTGAGGCAGGAGAATCACTTGAACCTTGGAGTCAGAGGTTGCAGTGAGCTGGGATCGTGCCACTGCACTCCAGCTTGGGCAACAGAGTGAGACTCCATCTCAAAAAAAAAAAAGAGAGATTTACTACTGGAATTTTAACTTACTTTCTTGCTTCCTGGTTTGGTTGTGTTTAGAAACCCTCAGATTCCACAGACCTTGCCTCTCCCAAGACTATGGGTAACAGGGCATCTATACCCCTCAAAGACATTCATGTGAATGGCCAACTCCCTGCTGCAGAAGAGATTTCAGGAAAGGCAACAGCAAACTCTCTTGTTTCTTCTGAGTGGGGAAATCCTTCAAGAAATACAGATGTTGAAAAGCCTTCAAAAGAAAATGAAAGCACCAAAGAGCCTTCTTTGCTACAATATCTTTGTGTGCAGTCTCCTGCAGGTAAGGGATGTCATCATGTCTTAGAGTCCCTTGCGGCAGTCAGATCAAGAATTGGATTTTTAAATTTTTGTCTGTGTCACCTGACCCAAAGTGGCTTATTGATGTGCCTGAGTCATTTTACTCTTAGCCCCTTTGTTTTCTCCATCTATAAATGAAGGGAGAAGCTGCTTCTACTTTCACCAACTTCAGGAGTAATGGGAAAATAATTGAGGCAGGTGATTCAAAAAAAATACATTAAACATTATTTGGTGAAAAAGCACGGTAATTCAGCTGAGTCTAGCATTGGTTTAGTATAATAGTGTGAACCTGTTGGCCATTGCATGCAGCTAGTGTTTTGAGGTCTTGAACATCTAGAGGTACTGAGTATATAGAATTGTGGCCAAGTGCCAGGTCTGGAGTAAGAGGGCTTGACATTTAAAACCACTTATTATCTGCGTGAACTTAAGTATTCTTCATCCTCATTGGTTAAACAGCAGTAATAATAGCACCTGCTTCATATGGGTGCTGTGAAAATTGAATTAAATTTAATAAGATAATACATCTAAAGCACTTAGAATAATAGCACCTGGCACTTAGTAAGACTCAATAAATGCTGTTACTATTTTGTATTAAAGCCGAAATACAGATGCCAGATTTTAAAAATATGTACTTTGTACATAAAGCTGCTCTTGATGCAAAGATATCTAAATTGATTTTCCTCAATTCCTTGTTGGCTTAAGCCTAACCTGCTAGAACAGGTTAGGTTAGTATTTATGATTATTCACTTATCTAGAAAAAATTCTTTATTTCTTTAGTAAGTATCTTTTAGTGCTTTCTCTAAGCACTGAGTATTGGGGATACACAAATGAACAAAAATAGATTCAGCCCCTGCTGAATGAAAATTACAGCCCAGCACAGGGGTTTTTAACTTTTTCTGTGCCATGGACCTTTTGGCAGTCTGGTGAAGGCCATGAATTCCTCCTCAGAATGTTACGGATGCATAGAATTAAATACATGGGATTACAAAGGAAGCCAATTATATTGAATGCAACTAGAAAAATCATTTTTAAAATTACTGATAGTAATAAAAAGACCTGGCAGCAAGCCCAATAGTGTCAAAATTTCCAAGTTGTGATGAGCTTAACAGTATATTAAGAAATCTGTAATAGGTTTAATGTAATATGCACATATCTGTACTATTTCCTAATGACAAAGTCAAGGTACTGTTAAAATTGTTAATTTGTTGCCTGTGATAATTGAGGGAAATAAAAATTTTCAGTTAGGAACTTATAAAGATATTTTGGCCAGGCACAGTGGCTCATGCCTGTAATCTCAGCACTTTGGGAGGCTGAGGTAGGAAGATCACTTGAGCCCAGGAGTTTGACACCAGCCGGGCAACATAGGAAGAACCTGTTTCTACAAAAAATAAAAAAAAATTAGCTGGGTGTGGTGGCATGCTTGTGGTCCCAGCTACTCTGCAGACTGAAATGGGACGACTGCTTGAGCCCAGGAGGGTGAGGCTACAGTAAGCCATGATCACACCACTGCACTCCAGCCTGGGTAACAGAGCAAGACTGGGTCTCAAAACAAAACAACAAAAAATAAGTAAATAAATAAAAATAAAGATGTAATCTTTCCCATCTAAGCTTTTTGCCTTCTCAGTTTGGGTTCAGTGGAACTCATGTTAAAAACTTCACAGGCACCAACTAAATGATCACACAGATAAATGTGGGATTACAATCTTGGCCACAGCTGTGAAGGAGCAGGGTGTGGGCTGTTTGGCCTGGTCAGCTGGGGGAAGGTCTCATCATTCATTGATTTATTGTGGACTCCCGTTTGAAAGGGCCATGACAAATGTGAGCTTGAATGATATCCTCATGATGACATATATTGATTTTCGCCTGTTCTGCTTTTCTTTCAGGATTAAATGGTTTCAATGTACTTTTATCTGGCAGTCAAACCCCCCCTACTGTGGGCCCGTCCTCAGGTCAGCTGCCGTCTTTCAGTGTCCCTTGCATGGTCTTACCATCTCCACCTCTGGGCCCTTTTCCTGTTCTCTATTCTCCTGCAATGCCGGGCCCGGTTTCTTCTACTCTTGGTGCTCTCCCAAACACAGGACCTGTGAATTTCAGCTTGCCTGGCCTTGGATCAATAGCCCAGCTTCTCGTCGGCCCCACAGCTGTGGTTAATCCAAAGTCGTCCACACTCCCTTCTGCAGACCCTCAGCTTCAGAGTCAGCCCTCACTAAACCTAAGTCCAGTGATGTCAAGGTCACACAGTGTCGTCCAACAACCTGAGTCCCCCGTTTACGTGGGACATCCAGTCTCAGTAGTAAAATTACATCAGGTGAGGCCTGAAGTTTCCTGAAGACACTGTCACTCTGGGAAGGGGTATGCCTGTGTTTAGCTTTCATTTTAGCCACATGACTGCCGGACAGAGGCACTAGGTCAGGCTCCACCTGGCTTCCGTTGTAGACCTAGAGTTATCTGCTCCTTTTATAAAGCACTGAGACATGAGGTGAGAGATCCTGTGCTTTAAAGACAAAAATGTATGTTTTTAGTTGTCATTCTGTTTCTTATAATTAGAGGGACCTGTTTTAGGCATAGTTCGGGGGGATTTTTGAGGAATGCTAAATATTTTTATTATTTTGGTGATCTTCAAGCTTTTATTTCACTAGGTCAATAAAAGAAGCTACCCTAAATTTTAATTATACAGCTATAAAAACAATCAAAGGAAACAGAAGTCTTGATAGTAACTCAGAGATTCTTAGCCTGTCAGTCATTTCTTAAGATGTGATGTTTAGAGACTGTGTGTGTGTATAATGTCTGTATGTATATACATCTATAATACATAGATGTATATACATCTATACATACGCAGAAAACATACAAATATACACAAAGATACGTTATCAATATAAGTTAATGAGTCTATATTTGTCCCCCAACCTCCATTTGTAGTTCAAGTATTCGTTGAATTCCTATTACACATTAGGTTGTTCACAGTGATTACTTACTCTCCCAGACAAAGAATTATGTTTAGCCAAAAATATTTTAGACAAGTTATTCAGAGGCTCAAAAGTTTGCGAGACATTGAAATGAACATGTTAGGTTTGAAACAAGATGATTATAGCATAACATAGAATTTTCTATCACCATGTGCCAGGCACCGATCTAGGCAGTGAAGATAGAGCAGTGAACCAGTGAACAAGATAATGGTCCCTGCCATTTTATGGCACATTAAGGGAATAAATATTTAACATTTAACATTAGGGGATAAATATTAGCAAGTAAAGAGAAAGAGCCAACACACAAACCATGTTGGCCTCACATGCTCTAAAGTGCTTTACAATTATCTTATTTAATTCCTACAACCTTGTGAAGTCAGTAATTTTACCATCGCCGTTGGATGGAGGAAGAAACTGAGGGACAGGTTGCTTAAGTAACTTGTCCACAGTGGCAGAGCCCAGTCCCTGGCTCCAGATACCAAAGATACCTCTTTGGTAGACTGCCTTTCTGCACCCAAAACAACAAATATGAATTTAATTTTCAGTTGTGGTAAGCAGGGGAGACAAACGGGGTAAGTGTGATAAGAAAGCAAAGAAGAAGGAACGCCTGCCTTGGGATCCTAACACACAGGTCAAGAAAGGGCTGCCTTTCTACTCAGAGATCAGAAACAATATGACTTCACTTCTGTTTTTTCTTTTTTCTTTTTTCAGTCACCAGTTCCAGTGACCCCCAAGAGCATCCAACGCACACATCGTGAGACGTTTTTCAAGACACCCGGCAGCCTTGGAGACCCTGTCCTGAAGAGAAGAGAAAGGAACCAGTCACGAAACACCAGCTCGGCCCAGAGGAGACTAGAAATCCCCAGCGGCGGCGCTGACTAACCTGCCGCTTTGCCAGGTGGGGGTGGGATCAAACGCCCTGAGAGTCCCGGATGTCCGAGGCGGGATGCAAACCATCCCGTCCTGAGCACGGGTCCTTCCTCTCTCTTTCATCCACACTTCTGTTAACTTCCCACCACCATCAATCATCTGATTTCCTGAAAGTAATTAATTGTGCATTTAATACCAGTTAGAGTTCCGACTCTGCATGGTGTCACAGTGAAAGCGCCGACTGACTTATGGTTTTGATTCAAGAATCGTCTTATTCTGGAAGTAGATCTGAATAGGCTACCGGAGCCTTGTTTTTCTAAAGGGGGGCGCTGTCTAGCACTTAACTAGGGTAAGCATTCTTAACATGTATTTCCACTTGCCCTGAGTAAATCTGTGGTGAGAGAAGCTTCCTTTCTGCAGTTTAAAAAAGCTACTGCTTCCTTAGGCTTCATCAGGAAGCCACCTTCAGTTGTGAATCCTATGGTGTTATTTATTTTGTTCCTGAAATGGGATTTAGTGCAAAAAGTTTACAACTACAGTCTTTAACACATTTTTTTCAGGGTATGACGACTTGAATGTTTATACTTTTATTCTATAATTTGCCCTGCACTTATTTTACAACCTAGTAATAATGTGGATAAATGTATCTACATGACACATGTCAAGACCAAAATAACTGTGAATGACACACCTTGCTGTAAATGAACTGTGCTAACCCTGACTGTGGGCTTGAGAACAAAGATGAACTCTAGAACTCTAGCAGCCTAACTGCTGCTTCTCAAATAACTGTGTGAACAGTGAGATATTACTGTTTGTTTCTAAAAATCCTACTGTGCCCAGTTTCCTTCACTACATGCCCTGCATTTTTTATTTAAATATTTAGCTGTAGCGCCATCAGATATGGATGCCTTCTAACAATTGCTGTTTGTAAAATAAATCAGGATGGTAGAAAGTGATTATATGGAAAATTGGAACCTGGATGAGACCTTTTCGTTGAATTCTGAAGAGTAATGATGTGAAAATTGATACAGGGCAAGAGATGATTCTTTTGTTTTTCTTCTACTTCATGTCCAGAAGAGTAAGAGGGAAAATGGACATATGTTTCATATCCAAGGGTATTCAAACTGTAGTTAGTTGGTACCTCTGAAAAATGAGAATGGTGAGCGCACGGGTTGGTTGTTCTAGCATGAATACAATTCTGGAAACTGTTATGCAATTTCCCTTTTTTAACCCACATTACTTTAGGGGTGCATTAAGTCGCCAAACTATACTAGTTCTTTGTATTCCTAGACTTGCTGATATTTACCTCTCTCTTGTCTCTTCAGAGTAAATGGTTCCCTTCTTTCCTTCCTACTTTCCTTCATTCTCTCTTCCTTCCCTCCTTCCTACTTCTTTTCTTCCTTCCTCTTCCTCTCTTAAAACTATCTTAGATGTAGAATCCTGGTGTAGGGTTTTATTTTATTTTTATTTTTTGACCCAATAAAATGTTATATGAAAGAATGAAAATATTAATTTAAGAGACTCTGGGAGTCTGAATAAAGTAGCTTTATATTAACTACAGGATAATATTAGCCTTATTACCCCCACAAGATTTTTTAAAACTTGAGGTAGGTAGCTACATTAAATAAATTTGCTACTTATATAAAAATTTTTATCAACACTAAACTTTTAAAGTTTACAAGTTTTTTTTTTCTTTTTTACAGTCTTCTATAGAGTTAGGTTAAAAATGTGGTTCTAACCATCAACAATTGCATGGTTAAATGACCCTGAACTAAAACTGATGGGTTCCCTATCAAAACAAATAAAAATATACCTTTTTCAGGTTTCAATCTGTGCAGGGTATATGCATGTTAATTCTACCATGCTTAAGAACTTCCACAAAATATTTCATGGAGAGGTCTGCATTTAGACGGAAACAGAAATTGCTTTTCCCCTCACTGTTCCTGAATGCTCTATACTTGTTTTAACATTTTTGCTATCTTTTTTTATTATTCTGATCATGATATGACCATTTAACCTCAGAATTCATAATTCCTGAGGGGTGTTAAGAAGCAGTCCCATTGGTGAGGATATTATGACTTGGTGACCATTCTTAGGAGTAGAAAACCAAGGACAATTGCTTCTGTATTCAGTATCCACTTCTTAATGTGGCTTTATATGTAAAAATAATAATGCAGTGGTTGTTTCTGTCAGGAAAATAAATCTTACAGAACAACTGGTGGAATTGAAGCTGCTGCGCTAGACTTGGATATTTTGGGTAGTGAAGAAGCAATGGCAATCTTGAGTCTATTATTGTATAATTTAGTAAAAGAAAAAAATAATCGTTGGTGGTCCTACTAAGAGAATGCAGCTTTTTTGAGTTGTCACAGAGGCTGTGTGTGCCCTACACTGACCAGGGTTTGTAAAACCCTTTCATTCTGGTACAAGAGTCGGGGGTATAACTTTTATACTTGAATCTACCTACCAAGTTTACATTTCTCAATTCCTTTTTGTAAGGTGCTATTTCTGTATTTAAATAACTTTCTTTTAACGTAAAGCTGCTTTCTGCTTATCTTATTGCACTGCTAGTTGTATGTAGGTATTAATTTTATTGCTGCTTACTGCTTTTGTTTTCTTATTATTTAGCTCTGCTCTTTTTCCTAATGGCTATATTATCTATAGCTATTTACTTGTAACTGTACTACATGTAAACTGATTTTTTGTTCTGATTTTTTTTCTAATATTTTTAGGAAAATATTAAGCTTTATAAAATAGCAATAAAAAATAATTCATTTAAGAAGAGATGGTGGTTGTATTTTTTGGTAGGCTTTTTTTGCATACTGTTTTGAGTAAAACCATTAACAGCTACAACATAGCCAACCAGGCCCTCATAAACACAAGTCAGATCTTTTTGCTGAGATCACCCCGTGGTTGCTAAATGCTGAATCTTAGTGCATCAGAATTACATGGGAGCTTGCGGGGGTTCAGGTACTGTGTAACTGAGCTTCTGATTTCTACTAAGTCCCAATCTCTGTAGGTTTGGAGCTTCCAGATGATTCTGATGTTTATCCAGTCTAGGAATCACAGGTAAATGCAGACCACCCCTCAACTTCTTGTAGCATCCATTAAGTCAAATGCTTCTCATTTTAGCTAATGCCCACCTTTCATTGAGAGCCAATTTCTATTGTTAGCCTTACTTTTAAATTGACCTGCAAGAAGACTTAATCTGATGTCCCCCTAGCTCTTTATATCTCCAGAGTGATCTATGTTGCACTGTTGTCGGACTCCCCTGCTAAATTCTGAGGTGACACTTGGAGATGTTTGAGCTGATTCACGTGGAGAATTCTTCGAAGGCCTCATCTTGGGAGCATTTGCCCGAACTGTGATGCAAGTAATACATATTCTTCCAGCTGCAGCTCTCTCTCTGCTGCTGGTTCTCCTGCCGTCCATTCCACACAGATCCTTGGGCAGGATTTTGAATGGTCCTAGTCTGGCCCTGATGTGGTTAACTGAATCATGGGGGTGGTTTCCCCCATACTGTACTCGTGGTAGAGAATACGTTTCATAAAATCTGATGGTTTTATAAGAGGAAACCCCTTTCACTTGGCTCTCATTCGCTCTCTGGCTGCTGCCATGTAAGATATGCCTTTCGCCTTCTGCCATGGATTGTGAGGCCTCCCCAGCCACGTGGAGCTATGAATCCATTAAACCTCTTTTTTCTTTGTAAATTACCCATTCTCAGGTTCATTTATCAGCAGCATGAGAATGGACTAATACAGGCCCTATCTCCCATCAGCCACATCCAGTGCTCTTTGCCTTGATTCTAGGAGAGAAAACCCAGCCAAGCACACAGGCTTCTCCCTCCACTGCCAAAGCTGCTGGCCCACTCATCTCCCTTTGGTCCCCCAGGTGAGTCAGACACCAGAGCATACCTCTCACTGCACGAAAGAGGTGTGAGAGAAGCATCACCCTGAACACCTCCCCTTATTGGCTCATAAGTGGCAGAAGTGAAGAATTACAGCATAACTTCAAAGAGATCCTCACTAAATCCATTTCTTTTTCCATCCCTTCAACCCTTTCACAGACTTGTAGGTGAACGCATTCAATACCTGGTTCACTAGTTTTGTAAAACTTCCTCCATCAATTCTGCAGAGTCCAACACCTTTGGAATGCAGCATTTCCTGTGACTAGGTGCTGTAGCCAAACTTGCCATTCAATCTCCTGTTACAATAGTTACAAGCTGCCATTGTCCAGGATTTGCAGTTATGGCACTCCATATTTCACACTTATCAGAGTAACTTTTGATAGCTATCAACTTGTTTTTAGTGTGAAAATCAGTTTAATTTGATGTCCTTTTCTACTCGAAAATGCTTCTGAAATTAATAAATCATACCCAAAGCTAAAATTATTTTCTTATTTTCATACTCTTACATCAAAATCCTTTTTTTGTAACTAACCCACTGGTAGTCTCCAATTTGACTGTCTTTTCTGTTAATATAGAAACATCCAGTCTTGCCCCAACTGTGCTCTGAAGAACTCAGTATTCTTAATATTAAGATATTAACTCAGTATTCTTAATATTAAGATATTAACTCAATATTCTTAATAGTAAGAATCAAAAATGGATAATACTGGTAAAACAGTTATTTTTTTTCACTGTAAGATTAGAGACATAAGCTTATAAGAGGAAATATACATACAATGTGTTTTTTTAAACTGGTTTGATTATGAGACCATTTTTTCTTAGACTGTCTTACAAGCAGCAGAAGATACTCCAAGAAGCAAAGAATCCCATTAAAAAACCCTGAAATTACTTACTCTTCACTGAAAAGAAAAACAGTACTAGCTTCTTAACGGCAGAGCCCCTAGGTGATTTATATCTGTATTCACCATACCCACCACAAAATGTGTACTCAATAAAAAACTGGGGGGAAGAATATGGGATGGATTAGTTAGCACAAACATTGTTTTTAAAAAACCTTACAGGGCTCTTTCATTGCACGGTTCCATGTACCTAGCTTGTTTGTTTTGCTTGTTTTTGTTGGTTTGTTTTACTTTAGAATGGCCTCCACAGCATCACCAATGTTCATAAAACAAAATTAATCATGATAATTCTGCATTTAAACTTTTTTTTTTTTTTTTTTGAGCTGGAGTCTCACTCTGTTGCCCAGGTGGGAGCGCAATGGCACAATCTCAGCTCACTGCAGCCACCGCCTCCTGGGTTCAAGCAATTCTCCTGCCTCAGCCTCCTGAGTAGCTGGGACTACAGGTGCCACCGCGCCACCACATCAGGCTAATTTTTGTATTTGTTTTTTTTTTTTTTTTTTGAGACGGAGTCTCGCTCTTTCGCCCAGGCCGGACTGCAGTGGCACTATCTCGGCTCACTGCAAGCTCCGCCTCCCGGGTTCACGCCATTCTCCTGCCTCAGCCTCCCGAGTAGCTGGAACTACAGGCGCCCGCCACCGCACCCAGCTAATTTTTTGTATTTTTAGTAGAGACGGGGTTTCACAGTGTTAGCCAGGATGGTCTCGATCTCCTGACCTCGTGATCTGCCTGCCTTAGTAGAGACGGGGTTTCACCGTGTTGGTCAGGCTGGTCTCAAACTCCTGACCTCATGATCTGCCTGCCTCGGCCTCCTAAAGTGCTGGGATTACAGGCATGAGCCGCTGTGCCTGGCCTCTGCATTTAAACTTTAGTGGCATGCCATGCAGTGTTTTCCTCTTAGGCATGCCTTTCCAGTTCCTACAGAGTCTACCCTGGCTCTCAACTTGCCTGCCAGCTATGCAAGATATTGCCTATTGACCCTCAGCATTGATTTTCACTCCTTTTCTAAGTTTTTTTAATCACAGGGGCAACAAGGCAGGCAACTACATTTCCCACATTCCCTTGCTACAAATGATTTTGTTAGTAAAATAGACTTATGCAAGATTTGGTAGATAGAAAGGAAGCTGAGGCTTCCTTACAGTAGAAGCACTTCATGCACAAATTGCAGCAGGCTCCGTTTTTGCAGCAGCCATACTTTATTCTACTGTCTAGTCCAGGACTGTGTATCAGCTGTGACACTGGTAGTGGTTTTACACTGTTCCCAGCCATCGTGCAGCAGCAGCATTCTCCCCATCCTCTGAGTAGCAGCCACGGTGGCATGATCCAAAAACATTTCACAGCAGCCCCTTAACTTCCACTTTCCCTCCCTTCCTACAATTGTGTAAGCACCTAATTCCCTGTATTAAAACCTTCCTGTTAGAAATACCTAGAGTGTTTTCTAATTTCTACACAGAACCCTGCAGTGCTATCTCCCACCTCTACTCCCTTCTTCTCCCCACTCCTCTGCCCATCCTGTCACTCTACTCTTGGTGGTCACATTCTTCATATTATTTTATTCATCCATGCCTTAGTGCCAGCCATTCCCTTTTTCTAACATACCCTGACATCCCCATTTCTCTTCCTCTGTCAGGCTACCTCATATGCATCTTCCCAAACCCATTTCAAATGCCCATCCCTCAGGAAGAAGTTGTTTTCCTCACCCCATTGTGAGATCCTTCAAGGCAGGAATTAAGTTTTTCTCATCTAGGGCCCAGCATTGGGCTTAGTATATGAACAAATAATCAACCATGCTGAAAAGGATACACAATAGTGCACCTTGACTTATTAGAGTAGCTGTAGTTTAATATGCAATGGCAACATGAAAATAGTACAATAAACAGAAGCTTCTCACCAAAATCAAACATTTTATGCATAGCTCTATTGCACCATAGTCGTGCTAATTATTTATTTACTCAATAAACATTCATGGTTCCTATGCAAACAGAAGTAGCCTTGGTGGGAGGGCATTCTACCCTCTTTTTTTCTCTTTAATAACGGTAGAGAAATCTAGAAACTTAATGCCCAATGGAACTTTAAAAATTGTCTTATTTGTGCACCTATTTTACAAGGAGGAAATCGAAACAAGGAAATTAAGTAACTTGCCCTGCATTAAACAATAATTTAACCACAAAGCTGAGACTAGAGCACAAAACTCCAAATTTCCCAGTCCTGCACCCTCACCCCTATGCTATGCCACTTACCAAGCTAAGACAAATTGTTTTAACAAATGTGATAGGTGTAGTCCATACAAACCCATCAAATAGGTGATCCATACAATTCCCAGATTGTATTAATTTTACAGACCACACACTTGTATGTGCAGGAAGTTGTAATTTTATTATGCAGACAATCCTCTCTTTACATAGTAATGCAAGACCATAAAAACAGTCATGCATACTGAAAGTGTGCAAAGCAATCTTCACATTTGAACTGGTCTTGAAAGATGCCTATTAGATTGCTGGGTGGGAGGCGTTTTAAGCCAAGTGATTGCTGCAAAAGCATGCATGCATGCATAATTGCAATTGTTCTGTGACTTCTTAAATTTTTATCAAGATATTAAAAATTCTCTTACTGTTGGCTATAGAGAAATGAAAAGATATTAAAACTAATATTTAGTATATAATTTATAGTATTAGAGAGATTGAGAATTAAAATGTTTTGTTTCTTTGTAAAAACTTATCAAGAGCAGCTTGAAGAACTCTTACCTTCTCATCAACATATAACTTACGATAAGTACTGAACATCTTTTTTATGCCTTGGTGAATTGTCATGTTCCTTTCTAAGTTTGGATCAGCTTCCAACATTTTATCTTTTACACTTTTGATTGCAGAAAATATCTCCAAGAGTTCATTTAATGGATAGTTTTTACAGACATCTCTTCCTCTGGGGCACCTTCATGGTTTTCATCACAGCCACATTCCTCACAGGTTGATACATTCACCCTAAGTTTCCGTAACTGCATATCTACAGTTTCTCATATGGTACTTCACTTTCATCTTTACTGGCCAATTCTCTCTTCTGATTATTCATTTTATTAAATGTCATGTGTCTAACGCTAGGAAACAAACAGGCAACATTACTCCATGCTTTGCTGTCTACATGAAGAGAGACTTTATGCATCAACAACAGACTTTGAAATAAATGACGGCCGGGCACAGTGGCTCATGGCTGTAATCCCAGCACTTTGGGAGGCCGAGGCGGGTGGATCACGAGGTCAGGAGATCGAGACCATCCTGGCTAACACGGTGAAACCCCATCTCTACTAAAAATACAAAAAATTAGCCGGGCGTGGTGGCAGGCGCCTGTAGTCCCAGCTACTCTGGAGGCTGAGGCAGGAGAATGGCGTGAACCCGGGAGGCGGAGCTTGCAGTGAGCCAAGATCGAGCCACTGCACTCCAGCCTGGGCGACAGAGCGAGACTCCGTCTCAAAAAAAAAAAAAAAAAAAAAAAAGAAGAAGAAAGAAATGACATGATTGCTTGTTGGTCATGATGGGCATCTGTTATTTATGTAGAGAGTGTATCATACTAACTAAAATCTGAATCATATTATTAGAAGATTGATATTATTTAACCCATGACAACTGACATACATGCATATTAGAACCAGGCAAAGCAAGGGCTGCCTATATATATATATATATTTCTGGGATTGAAATTAATTTCTATTTTAAGCCCTCATTCTACCTTCTGGCAGAAATTAGTCTCATTCAATTCAGCCTCCACTCTACACACAACTCCCTGAAACTCTCTAGAGGCAGTTGAAGTACTTTTAGTGGCAAGTATTTGAAAACATAATTCAAACAGGCTTAACAATAAGGGGCCTTGTTGGCTTACATCACTAAAAGCACAGAGGTAGGACAAGGACTCCAGCTCGTTTTCGCTCCAGTTCATTTGGTTCCGCTTTGCTCCATATGTAAGTTTAATCCACAGGCTGCAGCCTTCTCTTCAAAGGAAGAGAAGAAAACAACTTATCAAAGTTCTTCCAGAGGGGTAAGAACTTTCTCAGAGTTCCCCAGTAAGTATCTCCTCAATTGTTATTGGTCCAAACTGGGTTCCGTACCCGTTTCTACACCAAGTTAGGTCCAGATAGGATTATCTTTATTCCATGTCGACCTACCCTGGAACTGAAGCACACGGGCTCCTGGAAGCTGGGGGAGGAGGAGGGTAACACTTGACCAAAAATCAGGTTCTGTTAGAATGGAAAAGGCATAAAACAGATGCTAGCTAGCAACAGCAATTTCGCTACAGCCCTGAACCCGCTTCCTACAGTCACACATCAAGCCATGAGCAAGGGTAGACTGGTTCTCAGTCCTTACCTGTTCAAATTGTCATCAGCTAAGATGTACATTTTCCCTTCTGCTCTTTGGCCCCAGTTGTCCCTTTTGATGTCACGGCAACTTCCTTGGGCGCCAAATCCACTCCCTGGAATACCTGGCCGGGCCTTGCTCGGCCCCCCTCATTGGAAGGCAAGGCCACTCTAGGTCAGCTGGCTCTCAGTTCAATGTTACCACGGCACTCACAGCCCTTACGAAAGCTTTCTACTGCCTTCCTTACTCACCGCCCAGGGGCCCGGGAGAGGCTCATGAGGCTGTCTTGGCTTCTTTCTGCCAAGAAAATCGTCTAGGGTGGGACTAAGCCACAGTTTCATTTCCTGTGAAGTCTGCCCCCTTGGAGCCGCCATTTCTAAAGCTGCAACTTGAAAAGCAATTAGCTTTTTAAACCCTACAAGGCCACTCTGTGAAGCCTTTCAATTATGTTGTTGGCATAAATCTTAGAGAAACTCTTGTACACAGAGAGACAGGTATAACAGTGTTTATTGTGCCATTGTTTGTAACAATCAAAAGATATAAACAAACTGAAGTTCCAACAACAGGGATAAATAAACTGTGATCTCTTTCCATAATGTACTACTACTAAATAGTTTAACTGAAATAGCTAGATCTATATGTAACAACATGGATATGTCTAAAATATATACTGCTGAGTGGAAAAAGCTGTAAATATAGCAAAGGTTAACAGTTGGTAATTTTGGGATATAAATTCTCATGTCTTTTTTGTATTGATCTCTGTATTTTTCTGTATGATGGAATAAGTTGTAAAATTAAAATGAATACAGTTGACCCTTAAACAATGAAGGGGTGGGGACTGTGACCTGCATGTAGTCGAAAATCTAAATATAACTTTTGACTTCCCCAAAACTTAACTACTAATAGTCTACTGTTGACCAGAGGCCTTACCAATAACATAAACAGTTGATTAACACATATTCTGCATGTTGTATGCATTATATACTGTATTCCTATGATAAAGTAAGCTAGAGAAAAGAAAATGTCATTAAGAAAACTATGAAGAAGAAAAAATGTATTTACTATTCATTAAATGAAACTGGATCATCATAAAGATCTTCATCCTCATCATCTTCACATTGAGTAGGCTGAGGAAGAGGAAGGAGAAGGGTTGGTCTTGCTGTCTCAGGGGTGGAAAAGGCAGAAGAAGTGGAGAAGGTGGAAGGGGAGGCAGGAGAAGCAGTCTTGCTGGGTGTAACTGTTTTGAAAAAAAGTCCCGTGTAAGTGGACCCACACAGTTCAAACCCATGTTGTTCTAGGGTCAACTGTATTTTTAACAATTTTAGAAAATGATAACCATCTGTTTACTATGGTTATCAACAGTTCCTAGATTTTGGATTTTTGTGATAAGTTATTACATTGGCTTGAAGACCTGTGATCTCTTCCTGGAGGAGGTGTGTACATCCTTACCATGTTGAACTCAAGAGTGGCCATGAACTTACTTTTTCTAAAGAAACTAGATGGAAATGATGTGTGTTCTCCTGAAACAGAAGTTTTGAAAGACTGCTCATGGTTTACAAGATCTTGTTTCTCTCTCTGCCAAGAAACCAGATGCTCCAAATGGGCTGCTCTGTTACTGTCTTGGGCAAGAAGCAGAGCTGTAGCCAATCTGCAATGAACAAGGACTTGTCTTCAAGTTGTTGAGTTTTGGGGTTGTTTGCTACCTCGACCTAATTTAGGCTATCCTGACTGGCATAATTTAATAATAATAATAACTGAGGGGACCAACACAGCATGGCCAACATGGGATTTTAGAAAGTCAGAGCTTTCAAAATCATTGCTAACATTTCCCAACACCATCTTTTGTTGTTGGTTTGGTTTTTTTCGGGGTTTTTTTAGTGCAGAAGTTATTCTAGCAAAATAATAGTGACTTAAACTCAGTGAATCCAACACTGAAACCTTAACTATGCCCCCTCGACCCCTACCATGGCAGCTCATTTTGGCATCAGCCTTATGAAACGCTTCCTTACAGAGAAGCTTTTGGGATAAACCAGTGATTTCAGCATCAGTGTGGAAAGACTTTTCAAAGGATAGATCTATACAGATAATTTTAAGGGGATTAATTTATTTATATCTTCAAATTCCATCTGGGTGCATCTCTAAAATATATTTGCCTAGGTAATCTCTGGTCAACTGTTAAGCTAGTTCTCTGTTCCCATTGCCCCTTTCTCTAAATTTTCCCTCTCATTGCAAAAGAAGAGCTTACCTCCCATGCAATTGAAGGTTACAAACATTCCCTGTCTGGGGTATAGAAACCTCTAGAACATCCATCACAGGGATGATTTGAAATATTGTCTGTGCTGAAAGAGTAAATTATTCTGATGACTGGGCACCAAATCCTGCTGCAGGTCCTGTAGTTTCCGATTCCTTGGCTGTCAACAACCTTGAAGCAAAACCTAATCAATGTGTCTACTGGTCATTAAAAAAAGAAAATTATTTAAAGTATAAGTCGGCTGGGCACAGTGGCTCTCGCTTACAATCCCAGCACTTTGGGAGGCAGATCACCTGAGGTCAGGAGTTCGAGACCAGCCTGGCCAAAATGGTGAAATCTCATCTCTACTAAAAAAGATCACCTGAGGTCAGGAGTTCGAGACCAGCCTGGCCAAAATGGCGAAATCTCATCTCTACTAAAAATACAAAAATTAGCCACGCTTGGTGGTGGGCACCTGTAATCCCAGATATTCAAGAGGCTGAGGCAGGAGAATTGCTTGAACCCGGGAGGTGGAGGTGCAGTGAGCTGAGATCACGCCACTGCACTCCAGCCTGGGCGACAGAGCGAGACTCTGTCTCAAAAATAAAATAAATTTTTTAAAAAAGTATACATCATTTAGGGCAAATAACTTGGAAATTGTTCTAAAAATTCAGTTAATGCTGCCTAATAAAATTTCTTCCATACTTATTTCTGTGACTGAAGTTTCTTGAGGCTTACAACTAGAGAAAAATGATAAATATGAATAGTATCGATGCTGACCCTTGTCTCATTCTAGCAATAATATTCATCATGGATATGTAAACTAATTTTTAAAGCTTCATATATCTCAAGTATTAATTACTTTTTAATGTTTAATAATTATTTTAAATAAATTTAAATAAAGTAAATAAAATTATTTTCAATAAATATTTTAACATTTGTGTTTCAATCAGTTGTATACTTAAAAATGTAGATAACTAAAGCCTTGTGGTCAACAGAAAAAATTATAACTTAACTTTTAATTTATATTTATTTTTGTTATAGAGAAATATATATAGTGTTTTATATATACATAATATTAAATATAGCATTATATATTAAAACATAAATGTGTGTAAAACAGAATTTAAGTCTATTGGGGAAATGGAATTCAAATATAAGACCAAGGAGGAAAAGGAATTATGTGAAAATTACTCATTTATAAAAGCTTTTTTGTGTAATTTAAAAATAGCTGATGGTGAATATCAAATCCCACTGGTATTTAAATTCCCTTCTATACATTTAAAGGAGAAATATAGCAATTTTATTTTGAAATGTCAATATTCATGAACCATAAGAGATTATATTATTTACAACCATTTAAACTTATAATTAAAATGTTTACATATCAACTTAAAAATGTGCCATAAGTTTTCAAAATTATTTTCAGGGGCACGTGAGCAAAACCATCGGAAGGTCTCAGAGATAGAGCTTCTTATACCCATCCCTCAGCTCCCGCTAGGCTCCCCGCATTGTCCACACGGTGGCAGTAGTGTCTGTGCAGCCTGACGGATTTCCAAAGCTAGAAGACTTCTAAACCATTTCTATATTTCATTTGCAATCAACGTGTTAAATAAACAGTTTACATTTCCCTTGCATTAGAGCAATAAATGTCCACTGTGACTTACCACTGCTGAATTTCAAAATATTTCATTAAAATTTCCAGTCATGTAACAAATAAATAGCTATAAATACCAGAGCTACATAAATCACTTTTCACCCACCTGGGAATGAGCCGGACGTTAAATTCATTTTTACACTCCTCCCTGCTTCTCTCTTCCCCACTGTTCACACAGTGTCTGCCCACCCCTTAGCTTCAGTTGCTAAGCAACTGAAAGAGCTTTGTTGTTCTTGAACACTAACCATTAATTGCCCTCATTTTCTCCAATGAGAACATGCCTGCAGCCCAAATTACCTCCTTTTCCTGAAGAACAGACCAAGATGCTTATAACTTATGCTAATCATAAGGCAAATCCCATCCCAATAGAGAAATGCAAGAAAAGGAAATCCAGAATGCTTGAGCAACTCTGAACATAGTACACAAACACTGTGCTCATAAGGGCCAATTTTGCCTTATTTAAAAGATTATGATTGTATTGAGCACCTATTATATGCTAGGCACTATGCGAGTGCTTAACATGCATTATTTATTTTAATACTCAACCCCACTTTTTGAAGGTTTTTATGCCTCAGAATGGGACAACTTTTTAAGATTGAGTTGGACAAAAGGTAAATTGTTGTTTTAAGGAAGGGGAAATGGGAATGGAAACTGGCTTACCAGTTAGGAAAATCTGGTTTTCTCTCTTTTTTTTTTTTTTTTTTGAGACGGAGTCTACCTCTGTCGCCCAGGCTGGAGTGCAGTGGTACGATCTCGGCTCACTGCAAGCTCCGCCTCCCGGGTTCACGCCATTCTCCTGCCTCAGACTCCAGAGTAGCTGGGACTACAGGCGCCCGCCACCACACCCGGCTAATTTTTTGTATTTTTTAGTAGAGACGGGGTTTCACCGTGTTAGCCAGGATGGTCTCAATCTCCTGACCTCGTGATACGCCTGCCTCAGCCTCCCAAAGTGCTGGGATTACGGGCGTGAGCCACTGCGCCCAGCCAGTTTTCTATCTTAATTTTTACTTTAATTATCTGGATTGGAAAGCTCAGGCCCTTAGAAGTTAAATGACTTGCCTAGATTCTGTCAGAACCTAACGCCATTGTGGCACATTGCCTCTAGCTCATATTGGACACAGAATGATGTGGGAATTACTATCTTTCAACATCTTTGCCCAACATGTAGAAATATGATGAAAATTTCTACATTAAAATTCTGGTAGTCTCTTGATGCATGAAAGAAATGTTTGCGGTATGAGGGGAGTTGTGACCCCAGTTTGAATCTTGCTTTGCCACTTGTATAACCTGAGAAAGTTCCCATCTCATTTGGGGCCTCAGTTTTTCCTCTGTAAAAATAAAGGTAAGTACTATCTACCTCATAGGAATGATTTGAAGATTAATGTTGTATATTAATTGGAGTATGTTAAACTCCTGTAACAAATGGACTGCAAAGTGCATAATGGTTCAAACACTATGCAGGTTTTCTTCTCGCTCACCTTGTAGGGCAAGGTAGGCATACCTCATCAGCAGCATGCCTCTGCTTCAGGGGAACAGGTTGACGGCAGTTCTGCGGTCATCAACACAGGACTTTCAAGATCACCTAGGCATCATTTTCACCCAGGGAAGCTGGAAGCAGGGAAAAGGGGAAGGAGCATATTTGAGAGGCTTTTGGAAGTCAGACCAGGAGATGGGACACGACTTCCACTCACATTCCATCAGCTGGTACTCAGGCACAGAGACACAGCCATCTGCAAGAAGCTGAGAGATATAACCTGCCCGAGTGCCCAGAAGAAAGGAACCCAGAATTTGGAGAATACCTAGCAATCTCTGCCAAGGGTCATGTTTCTGTAATCATTTCTTACTATGCACAGAATAAGAGTTGAGTTAGTGTTAGCTTCTTCCCTTCTCTCATTCCTTTCTCACTTTTTCTCTTGCTATCATCCATTCTACTATATAAATAATATTTCTCATATCAGATATTACCATTGATCACAGAATGAAAACTCTTCAAATGATATCAGAACAGCAAAACAGAGATGAGATGATTTTTATAAAAAACAACCTCTTGCCAAGAAGGGATTTAGGTTTACTTATATTTGTTATTTTAATTATGATCATAATTACCTCTTTTCTAAGACATCATTGGCTACAGAATACTTGACTTGCTAAACTACAAAATAAAGAAATATTCAAAACAATACTGGATTCTCCATGTTTTATTTTGTAAATATTCTAGAATGTCATAAATTCAAGTGTTTGAGGGGCCTCTCGAGATCAATTTATCAAATTTTCCCTGTTTAGAGGTAAGAAAAAAATAAGTGTAAATGGAGGTGACACCCCTAAAATCACAATGCTAGTCAGTGGCAGGGCTGAGGCTCTTAACTTTTGGTCAAGATTATGAGGAAAATGTATCTAAAGCCCTTATCAGGGCTCCAGAGATGGTGATAACTATTGAAGAGGCACATGTAAAGTGCTTTGCAAATCTAGGGCAGCTTAACAGAAGCATGGACATAGCTGATTTCCTCAGTAGGCTGATGCAAAAATACCAGTTTTATCTAGAAACAATATCATTTTTGGTTGAAGTCATTTATCAAATTAGCTACACAATTTTAAAGCAAGAAAAACAATTAAGAGAGTTCACATTTGACAGGGAAATAAAGTGAGAATTGAGGAAAGTCCAGATCAGGGTGGGAGAAGAGACTGGGGAAGCAAACCTAAGGGGAACAGGAGATATTTGCATGGGATGAGACAAGATGGTGGTGGTGGTGGTGGATGGAGCTTCAGCAGCCAAGAGCCAGCATAAAGGCTCTGAATAGCTAAGAAGGAGAGTCTTTTTCACCTTACTTATTAAACATGAGAGTTTACATGTCAAAAAAAATTAGAAGACAGGTAGATAAATGTCATCACCCCATTTTAAAGACAAACAAATTCATGCTTAGAGAGCAAAATGATTTGCCAAATAAAAAAGCAGAGCTAAGACTTGACCCTGGGTCCTTGACCCCAAATCCACCAATCTTTCCACTAACATATACTATTTAAAAACTGAAAAGTGACTTACCAAAGACAAACTCTATTCACTTCATGATTTCACAGTTACAGACCATGATAGATTGATCATAAATATGGCTCCTATTCTCTACCCACCCCGTTTATCCATGCTCATTGCAACGTGACTTGCAGTTCTTCCTATCAGCTGGTAGAGTCTATTTCCTCACCTCTTAAACCTGGCTGGCTTTGTGACTTGCTCTGGCTAACAGAATATAGCAGAAATGATGACATCAATTTGAAGCCAGACCACAAGAGAACTCATGTGCTTCAGTTTTCTCGTCTTTGGATTTCTGCCTCAACCCTGAGAAACTGTCTGGGCTAAGCCAACTGGAAGATGAGAGAGAGACTACTTAGAGTGGAGTAAATTCATGCCAGGAGCAACCTTCCTCAACCAGATAACAGAAAACACATGAACAAGCCCAGCTAAATTAGTAAAGCACAGCCCTTAAAACAACAACTCTTGGCCGGGCACAGTGGCTCACGCCTGTAATCCCAGCACTTTGGGAGACCGAGGCAGGCGGATCATGAGGTCAGGAGTTCCAGAGCAGCCTGGCCAATAAGGCGAAACCCCATCTCTACTAAAAATACAAAAATTAGCCGGGCATGATGGCAGGCGCCTGTAATCCCAACCCTGGGCAACAAGAGCGAAACTCCATCTCAAAGAACAAACAAAAACTCTTTATTATTATTCCCTAGTCTACTGGGCGGGTCTGTTTATCTTAGAGTTCTATCAACTGTCTATTCCCAATAGACTAGTGAATAATAATAAAGAGTTGTTGTTTTAAGCCACTACATTTTGGGGTAGTTTGTTATTCAGCAACTGCTAACTGATACAAGGGAAACCTGGCATTCAGAGCCAGATTGAGCATCAGGCTAGCTCAACAAATCCACAAAGATTCACCCAAGTATTGCAGGAACATATATGTGTGTGAGAGAGAGAGACGAAATATATACCAACTACCTCTACTTTCCACAGCTATCTTTTGTAACTAGCAAAATGTACGTTGCTCCTGCTTCTGGGAAAGTAGAAATTATTACTACATAAAAAACAGAAATTACTCCTTTTAGTCACAACCACACCACCATTAAATAAACATTTAATAAATACCTAAAAACATTGTTGTTATTGTTGTTTGAGACAGAGTCTCGCTCTGTCACCCAGGCTGGAGTACAGTGGTGCGATCTTGGCTCACTAAAACTCTGTCCCCTGTCCCCTTCCGGCTCAAGTGATCCTCCTGTCTCAGCCTCTCAAGTAGCTGGGACCACAGGTGCTGCCACCACACCTGGCTAATTTTTTGTATTTTTTTGTAGAGACAGGGTTTCGCCATGTTGCCTAGGCTGGTTTCGAACTCCTGAGCTCAAGTGACCCACCTGCCTTGGCCTCCCAAAATGCTGGGATTATAGGCGTGAGCCACCACACCCTGCCAAATATCTAAAAATATTAAACCAAAGGGCACCAAGTAATCAGATGCCCAAGGTGCCCCTATGTTTCTGTTCAATCGCCTGCTTTGTATATATAGATCATGGTATAAAAATGCTCCTAGAAGAGTATACTAATTGTCCTCATTTCCTCGAAAAATATCAAAAGCAAATGACAAGAGAAGTACTTTTCTAGTCCAGAAATAGAAACATTAGGGCTTTGAGAGGTAAGATCAGGTCAAAATGCGATGGCTGAAAAGGATGTCTCATTCCTCCCTATCTTTAAGTCTCCCTTCCTTCCTGAACAACTTGCCCTGTGTAAGAGACTGGCCTGTAGAATATCAATTCCAGATACCAACTCATCTTTAGACTTTGCTGAGTTTGGAGTTTGGAGGGTCAAGTTTCAAGAAAACCAGGTGAAGTCATTTACGAGCTAGGCAAGAGTGGAAATTCCATATGGTTTCTGACTTATAAAAAGTAAAATAATATTTTTAAAAAACTATCTTCTCTACTTCAACTTGTTTTCTTAAAGTATAACCTTGTCTTGTGGTTACTCTCTAAAGGGAAGTATTTTTAAAAGTCTTCTCTTGAAATAAAGTTATTCAAGTTCAAACTTTTGGTCTGTGTCAGCAAGTATTTGCACATACTGTTTGCCAGCAGGCTGTTGGTGCCATACAACTAACTGAAGGCAGACTGCCTTTCTTCAGACCCAGGTTGGACGGAAAAATGGAGAATAATTCTGACAGTTACATTTTAGATCTAATTAACATGGAAAACATTTAAACAGAGTGTAAAGAGCTCAGTTCTCTCATGCCAGAAGCCAATTATTTCCCCCACTTAACATGAGAAGGGATTGTTTAGTGGTTAGGAGCATGGGTTTGGGATTCCAGGGCTCTGCCATTTACTTGCTGTGGGACCTCAGTTTTCTCCTCTGTACAATGAGGATAATGTTTGTGTCA